>NW_014040926.1:174969-349938 GCF_000001405.40 Homo sapiens | reverse complement strand
GATCCTTAATTCTATCTTTAGATACCCTATTTCCAAATAAGGTCCCATTCACAGGTACTGGGTATTAAAATTTAACACATATCTGGCCGGGCACAGTGGCTCACGCCTGTAATCCCAACACTTTGGGAAGCCGAGGCAGGTGGATCACATGGTCAGGAGATCTAGACCATCCTGGCTAACACGGTGAAACCCCGTCTCTACTAAAAATACAAAAACTTAGCCAGGCATGGTGGCCGGCGCCTGTAGTCCCAGCTACTCAGGAGGCTGAGGCAGGAGTATGGTGTGAACTCGGGAGTCAGAGCTTGCAGTGAGCCGAGATCGCACCACTGCACTCCAGCCTGGGCAACAGAGCAAGACTCTATCTAAAAAAAAAAAAAAAAAAAAAAAAAAAAATTAACACATATCTTTTGGGGAACATCACTACTCAACCTATTGTTATCACCACCACCACCACCACTACCACCCTGGCTCAGCAAATCTTCACTGAGCATGAGCAGTGTGCCAGCCAGGGGCACAGCAGTCATACTACATTAGTGCTGCCTATGGTCTAGTGGGAAAGGTAGACAAGGCACAGGTAATGGTGGGGTGATGATTTTTTTTATTTGAGATGGGGTCTCACTCTGTCACCCAGGCTGGAGTACAGTGGCACAATCTTCGCTCAATGCAGCCTCCACCTTTTGGGCTCAAATGATCCTCCCACCTCAGCCTCCCCAGTAGCTGAGACCACAGATGTGCACTACCAGGCCTGGCTAATTTTTCATTTTTTTGTAGAGATGGGGTTTTGCCATGTTGCTCAGGCTGATGTCGAACTCCTGAGTTCAAGCAATCTACCCGCCTCAGCCTCCCCAAAGTGTTGGGACTATAGGCGTGAGTCACCACGCCTGATGCAGAGTGGTTTCTAAACTAACTGTAGAAATACAAATATGGGCTCACAACGGAGAGAACAGGTAATATTGCCTGAGATGGGATAAAGCAGGGAGCACAGTATATGTCCTATTAATTAATCAAGACACTTCAGGGAAATCTATTTGCAGAAAAAAGCAACAGAGAAGAAGAGAAAGTCTGAACTTCAACTTTTAAGACAGAAAGCCCTCAAATGCAGACTTTACCTGTCTGTGCCTCAGTTCTCTTATCTGTAAAATGGGAATACTAATAGAATTGGTCTCATAGGGTTATTGTTAGGTTTAAGCCAAATCACTGAAGCATTCGTTGAACAAATATTTATTGAACATCTTCTACATACCAGGCACATTATATACAGTAAAGAGCTAGCAAAATGCCCGTCACCAATAAAACACTTAATAAATGTCAGTGCCTGTCCTCTTTCCCCCAATTCATAAGTTAGATAAAACTTCAGGACAGAAGTACAAGAGAGATCATAAGGCAGGACAGGCTAAAGGCCAAGTCAAGAGCATGAGATATGTGTGTTTAGAGAACAGCGAGGATGTGGCCAGATGGGTCTGCGAATGCTTCCTGGAGGAAGTGGGCTTTGCATCAGAACTTGGAGGATACACAAGGAGAGGAGGGAGGACTCCATGCAGCAATGATGGCATAAACAAAAACTGGGGCAAGGAAATTAGATAAGAAACATGTTTGATCCAGACACTGACCCTTTCTGTAAGATTCTGGATTTTTGGAGGGCAAATGAAGCAACAGTGAAAGTTCAAGATTTTCTAAATCTAAAACAAAATCAAGGGTAAGTACAGATGAAAATGTACTTAACCGTATCACAAGCATTTGCATTTCTTTCAATTTTGCTCCAACTTTGGTATCACTTTTTATGCAGGGCATTTCCCATAGGGAATAGTTCCATGTGTTTCTACTATGTATATTTAGATTGTCTGCTTTTCCTGTTCAATGTGGCTCCTGAAGGCAGGGGCTGTATTTTATCGCCAGTACATTGCTGGTGCTTGGCATATAGTGAGCACTCAGTAAGCATTTCATCGAATGAATTACTTTTATATTTCTATTTTACATAAAAGCATGAAATTTTGAATTTGTGCTAAAATTCTTAATCCTGGCCTAGGGCAAGTATAATATTGATATGTATAAGGAAAGCCAGGCAGGATTGTTTAGCTGGAGACAGCTTCTAGAATGACCAGCCCAGGATCCAGTAGGACTTGCTGGAGCCACACAGAGGCCTTGCTAAACTAAAATTATGAATTCGCAGGCTGTGCTACGAACCCATTAGGCTATGTTGCTTTAAACTCGGGTCAGCCAACCAAAAGGTGGATGCAAAAGACTTTCTTTAAACAAGCCAGCAGCTTGAGGCTTGAAATAGAACAGAAAGGGAATTCACAGGACTCAACCTTGTCTTCTGTCTGGAGCTCTTGAGACCCAAGGATACTGGCCAGGCGAACCACACTGCGATAAGAAACAGCAGCTGAAAGTTTGTTTTTGGAGCCACCAGATCCAGTGGGTGGACTGTGTCTTGAAATAGAAGCATCTCAAAGGCCTGTGAATCATTTCTTAGTGCCGGCCTGCAAGGTTTCATATCCTGTTCTCAGAGCTACCTTGGGTGCTGTATGTATATGTATGTGTGTGTATTGTTTTCAGGGTTGTTTGCCTAGGATTTGGTTTTGAAACTTTTACTTTCTTTTAATAGCTTTTTTTTTTTTTTTTTAAGCTGGAAGAATTTTTCAAATGGTTTTTGCGAGAAAGTTCAAACCCTGGAATGACTAAGTCGCTGGAAGAATTTGGACTTTGTGAGGGGAATTTGCACTTGGTATGAATCACCCAGTCACTGATTCCTGCAGTGAGAAGACCTTTCGGAAAGCTTCTGGGTCAGCCCCCTCGTACACATGGGGAAACCGAGGCTCAAGGAGGGGAAGGACTTCAGCCAAGGTCCCACAGCATGTCTGTGGAAATGACAGGACTGGAATCAGGTCTAGCTCCTGGAACAGCTTTGGATTTGCAAGAAGCTCTCAAGCACCCAGTCTCCATAGGTGGGCACATTTTCCAAACAGTAGAGGAACAGAAAGAACAAGAGGGTTCTGAGGAGTTAGAACTCACCATAGAGTTATGGAAGGAATGGGGAAGGGATTGCCGGAAGGTATTTTATATGAAATAGCTCATTTAATCCTCCCCAGGATCCTATTAGGCAGTGGTTCTAAACTAGGGTTGATTTTGCCCCCAGAGGACATTTGGCAAGATCAGGGGACATTTTAGGTTTGTCACAGCTTGAGTGGGAGTTGCTACTGGCATCTCTTGGCAGTGAATACCCTATGTGGTAGAGGCCAGGGATACCGCTAAACATCCTGCAATGCACAGGACAGCCTCACAACAAAGAATTATCCAGCCCAAAATGTCAATAGTGTTGGGTCTGAGAAGCCCTGCTATGCAGAGGGCGCTTGTATATACATATCAATTTAACAGCCAAGAAAGCCGAGGCTCAGAAAGTGTAGCCACTCGCTAGCCACGTGGTCTTGGGCAAATTAGCCTCTCTGTGTCTCAGTTTCCTTATCTGTAAAATGGAGGCAACAGTACCTCTGTTACCTAAATAAACATTTGTAAAGCACTTAGAATGGTGCCTGGCACATAGTGTTACATGAATGTTTGCTAAAAATATATAAACAAGCTTACCCAGGAAACACGGAAAGTAAAAGAATTGTAATGAAAGCCCAGGTGAAAAAAATCTAAAGAGACTTAAGGACATGGGGGCTGGAATATGAGAGACCTCCTGGGGGTGTACAGCCCTGTGAGCAGGTAAGGCTGTCCACCGTGTGACATCCTATGTTCCCTGCCACCCCCCACCACCAGTAGCCATGAGGTTTTCCTTCTCAGACACTGCTACCTTAAATGCACTTCATCTTTTTAGGTTAAAATGATATGCACTTCAACATGAATCTCCTTGGCAAGTATCTGACACAGTAAGCCACTATCAGTCACTAAGAATAATTCAGGATAAATTAGTTTTTCAGTTGCCTCCCAACAAATAGGCCGAATGCAGGTTATACTGAGAGTGGAAGGTAAACAGAGGCTGACAGCTTAGTGTTCAGAGGCAGGCTTAGGACAGTGCTGGCAGGTGCACAGTTGTCCTCAGCAATCCTAGACCATCAGTCATTCCCCTACCAGCCAGCACCACCTAGAACAGGCCTCAAGTCTGGGCCCTGCCTAGCTTTGCACCCCCTTTCAGAACCTGCTCCTGACCCTCCCCCACCTTCAGCTCTCCTGGTCTTTTTACTCAGTCTGGGGCCTATTCCCTACTTTCCCACTTTGACCTCTAATCCTGTCCTCAGTCAGAGCCCAGATTCCTCCACCAGCTGCTGAGACCTGCCAACTTGCTAAGTGATTGCCCTACTCAATGCTGAAGGCCTGACATATCAGCCCGGCTCTCTCAGCAAGCCCCAGGGCTGTGAAGGAAACTGGGCAGAGGGTGTCACAAGAGTGGAGGGAGAAAAAACCAAAGCAAGGGTCACCCATATCTCTACTCTGCCCAGAACCCGCCTGCTACGCCTATTCATTAGAACATTCATGGCCATTTACCGAGCTCTTTAAGCTATGAGTCTTGCACACTTACAACAGCTCTCACAGCTGTGCCCCACTCCCCCATCCCTGGAGACCTACAAGGGCCCATATTAACTGTATTACTTCTCTATTGCTGCTATAACAAAATGACTACAAACTTAGTCACTTAAAACAACTTAAGTTTATGCTCTCAAACCAACCTGATCTCACTGGGCTAAAATCAGGGTGTTTGCAGGGACTTCCCTTTCGGAGAATCTGGAAGATAATTGATTTCCTTGCCTTTTCCAGCTTCTGGAGGCTGCCAACATTCCTTGGGTTGTGACCCCTTCCTTCATTTTCAAAGCCAGCAACATGGCATCTCTCTGACCCTGTTTTCGTGGTTGCCTCTCTTTCTCTGACTCTTTTCTGCTGCCCTCTCCCACTTTTAAGGACCCTTCTGATTCCATTGGACCCACCTAGATAATCCTGCATAGCAACCTTCATTCCATCTGCAAACTTAATTCCCACTTGCCGTGTAACAGTACATTCACAAATTATAGGGATTAGGACACAGACATCTTTGGAGGTGACTATGATCCTGCCTACCATGTTAACCAACCCAGAGTGGCGGGGACCATACAACCCAGAGAGCTTGTGCTCCTTCTCAAGGGAGCAACTGCTGCTCAGCTCCAGCTGTCATCATCATGCATCAGTATGGGTTCAGTGTGGCTGAGTCTGCCAATATTTCAAGTGAAATCAGAAAATTGGACTTTCAGGTGAAGATTTCCAATTCTGACATCACTGTGCAGACCAAAAAAGAACAAAAAATCTCATAGGCTAGATATAGCCTGAAGCCACCCAGGTGTGACCTCTGGGTCCACCTCTACCACATCAGCTGTGTGAGATGATGAGATTTCTCTGGCATTTACAGGCTCTGCAGGTTCTGGGGGATGGAGAACCAGTCAGGCCTAGAGGCCAGAGAGAATGTGGTCAGGAGCATAGCGGGTACTGAAGGGGGTGCCTCAGGGGAAAGTTCAGAGGGAGAAGGGACTGACCATCTCCCTAAGGGACTAACCATCACCTGCAGGAAGCAGCAGTGCCTCAAAGGGTACAGGAAATCAGGCTGAGGCCGACCTGAAGAAATCAACCAGAGTAAGGTGGGCTTTATGGCTTGTGACCTCAGAACAAATCAAGCACACTCTTTCTACTTTCAAAAAGTATCAGTTCTTCCCCTCCCCACAAAACTAGCAACATTGGCTGACTGTGAGAAGAGGATGGCAGGGGCCGGGGTGAGAAGGAGGCCTTTCACTTTATGCCTCTCGAGCTTTTTGAGTTTTTAACCAGGTGAAAGTATTACCTACTTAAAACATTAAATTCAAAAGCTTTTATTCATTTAAAAATATTTTAAAATACAATCGATTACATTAGAGGTAAAAACACAAAAGTAGTTGTCATGGTGATGCTACTGCACTTCCATGAAGATGGTATGTGTGGTCATATAACAGGATGGTTTAGAAATGGTGAAATCTTCATACATTTGGCTAATTACTCCGGACCCATCGCCTGTCATTCAAACTGATGGCTGCTTTTCCTTATCCTTACATGCCAGCACTTGAATAAACCAGGTTGGTGTCTTTTGGAGTTCTTTTCCATTCTGACTGGCACAAAGCTAAGGCTCTGGAGTCAGTCGGCTTGCCTCTTCCATGCTGTGTGACCTTGAACAACATGCTTAGCCTCTCTGAGCCTGTTTCCTCATCTGTATAATGGCTTCATAGGCTTTTTATGAAGATAAATGAGTTAATGTGTATAAAGCACTTGAAACAGCACAAAATCAGTGCCCATAAATGTTGACACTTATTATTAACTATTTTCATTATTCTTTTAATCTTGTTTATTTTTGAGTGGGGGGATTATTAAAACCATAACTTAAGACATGTAACAAAACATAAGTAACGTAGGTGAACTAAAATGAAGCGAATTTAACCTCTGGTCCCCCAAATCCTTACAAGCGCCCTCTTAACAGGAGTATCATTGTCTATTTCATAGATAGAAAAACTGAAGCTTGGGGAAAGTGAGTGAGTTGCTCTAGGACACTGAGTTTGGAAATAGAAAAGATAGGAGCTTGAACCGCGTTTTCAAGACTCCAGATCCCATGGCTTTCAACTCGAGGCTGTCCTACAGTATGATTATAAAGTAACAGGTGCTCCTTCCTTATTTGGTCCAAAAGAAAAAAAAATTGCAGGGCTCAGAGGGGAACTTGGCTTTTTGATTTGTTCAGTTTGGGGTCAGCCCTTCCTTGCTCCTGGCCCCAGATTCAGTAGATTCCAGGGTGGGGGGGTCAGGTCAGCAGGTCTCTGGCTTATATTCTGGCCTCAGCTTTGGAGCCAAGTTATTCTCTCCCCTGGGAGGGAGTCAGGGTTGGGGAGGGGGTGTCAGAGCCTGGAGACTGCTGTGGATGTCCCTGGCCCAGCTGTGGCCTGAGCTTTCTCACCAGGAGGCTTTCCCAGCATCCCCACTCTTCCCCAGGCCTTCTGCCATCTCTCCCAATTCTCACCATCCAAGAAGTAGTTGTTGCAGCTTGAAAACATGGCTGCTAGCAAACTTGTGGGTTAAATGCCCCAGGAAGATGGAGCGCACTGCCCAAGCAATTTCCAGGAAGCAGGACAGCCCAGAGGTCAGGAACACTTTGCAGTTTTGAAATTTGGCTCTTTTGCTTCTAGCTCTTCGGTCTTAGGCGGGTGGCTTCACCTTTCTGATGCTTCCGCAACTGTGAAATGGGATGATAATAGTATCTGTCACAAAAGTTGTTTGGAAGCCTGGGCAGCATAGAGAGACCCTGTCTCTACAAATAAGTACAAAAAAATTGGGCCGGGCGCAGTGGTCTATAATCCTATAATCACAGCACTTTGGGAGGACCAGGCAGGCAGATCACGAGGTCAGGAAATCGAGACCATCCTAGCTAACATGGTGAAACCCCGTCTCTACTAAAAATACAAAAAAATTAGCTGGGTATGGTGGTGGGCGCCTGTAATCCCAGCTATTCAGGAGGCTGAGGCAGGAGAATGGTGTGAACCCAGGAGGCGGAGCTTGCAGTGAGCCGAGATTGCACCACTGCACTCCAGCCTGGGCGACAGAGTGAGACTTCATCTCAAAAAAAAAAAAAAAAATTTGCCAGCTGTGGTGGCATGTACCTGTGGTTCCAGCTACTCGGGAGGCTGAGGCAGGAGGATTGCCTAAGCATGAAGGTTGAGGCTGCAGTGAGCCATGATCAGGCCACTGCACTCCAGCCTGGGCAACAGAGCAAGACCCTGTCTCCAAAAAAAAAAAAAAAAAAGTTGTTGGGAGAATTTTTAAAAAGAGATTTATTGGTGTTTAATTTACATACTAGAAAATTCACCAATATTTATGTATATAATTCAATGATTTTTAGCACATTTACAGAGTCGTGCAACCATCACATCAATTCCAGAATACTTTCATCACCCCCACATAAAACCCTGTATCCATTAGCAGTCACTCCCCTTCTGTCCCCCAGTCCCAGGCAACCATTAATCTACTTTCTGTCTCTATAAATTTTTAGAAATTTATAGAAATTTCTTTTAGAAATTTCACATAAATGGAACTGCACAGTATGTGGTCCTTTGTGTCTTGCTCCTTTCATGTAAGCATATTTTTTGAGGTCCATCTATTTATTGTGTAGATTAGTAGTTCATTCCTTTTTTATAGCTGAATAATATTCCATTGTATGAATACACCACATTTTGTTGATCCATTCATCAGCTGATGGCCATTTGAGTCATTTCCACTTTTTTGCTATCATGAACAATGCTGCTGTGAACATCCCTGTATGAGTTTCTGGGTAGACTTGTTTTCATTTCTCTTGGGTAGAGATCTAGGAGAAGAACTGCTAGGTCATGTGATAAATTGCTGTTTAACTTTTTTTTTTTTTTTGAGACGGAGTTTTGCTCTTGTTGCTCAGGCTGGAGTGCAACGGAGCGATCTCAGCTCACTGCAACCTCTGCCTCCTGGGTTCAAGTGATTCTCCTGCCTCAGCCTCCCGAGCAGCTGGGATTACAGTGGGATTACAGGCATGTGCCACCATACCCGGCTAATTTTGTATTTTTAGTAGAGACGAGGTTTTTCCATGTTGGTTAGCTGGTCTCGAACTCCTGACCTCAGGTGATCCGCCCGCCTCGGCCTCCCAAAGTGCTGGGATTACAGGCGTGAGCCACCACACCCGGCTGATATTTAACTTTTAAAAATGGCCAAGCTGTTTTCCGAAGTTTTACCTTCCCATCAGCAGCATATGAGGGTTCGCTGAGATAATTAAACAGGATTATTAACACAAAGTGCTTGGCATAGCGCCTGGTCATAGTAAATCCTCAGTAAATGATAGTTAGCACTAACAGGTTTCAATAGAAACAGGAATAGTTACAGTACCCAGAGAACGGCTGCCTTCTTCCCTGAATAAAGTGGATCTCATAACCACAGTCACTCTGAAAAAACTGACCAAATTCTTTTTTTTTTCCCCCTGGAAGTATGCTTACATTATTTGTGCTCTTTAGCCTGGCATTCAAAGCTCTCCAGATACCCCACCTCCATCTACTTCTGCAATCCTGGCCTGCACCTCTCCACCTCCTCGCTCCTGCCCAATCAAGTGATCTGCACCTGAGCAGCTTTGTTCATACCATTCTCTGCCCCCTTCCCTCCAGTCTTTCTCCTGCCCTGTCTTCACGTACCAAAATCTCATCTGGGCTGGGCATGGTGGCTCATGACTGTAATTCCTTTGGGAGGCTGAGATGATAGGACTGCTTGAGGCCAAGAGTTTGAGACCAGCCTGGGCAACATAGCAAGACCTCATCTCTACACAATTTTTTAAAAAAAATTAGCCAGGTGTGGTGGCACACATCTGGAGTACCAGAGTTTTTCAATTGGTAGCCACTAGCTATGTGTGGCTACAGAGCATTTGAAATGTATCTAGTCCAAACTGAGATGTGCTGAATTAAAGACACGAGATTTTGATGACTAAGTATAAAAAATAATGTAGGAATAATAGTTTTTCTGTGTTCATCACATGTTGAAATAATGTTTTGAATATATTGGATTAGGTAAAGTATATTACTGAAATTAATTTTAAGGCCAGATACAGTGGCTCACACCTGTAATCCCAACACTTTGAGAGGTTGAGGTGGGAGGATAGCTTGAGTCCAGGGTTTTGAGACCAGCCTGGGCAACATAGTGAGACCCTGTCTCTACAAATAATTTTAAAATGAGCCGGGCTTGGTGGCACGCATCTGTGGTTCCAGTTACTCAGGAGGCTGAGGTGGGAGGATCACTTGAACCCAGGACATCGAGGCTGCAGTTTGAACATGATCACACCACTGCACTCTAGCCTGGGCAACAGAGCAAGACCCTATCTCAAAAAAAAATTAATTTCACTGTCCTTGCTTTTTTAACTATAGCTGCTGGAAAATTTAAAATTACATTTGTGGCTTGCATTATTGTTCTATTGGACAGCATTCGTATAAAGCATCAACATCCTAACTCTCATTGAGCACCTATTTCTTAAATTTTTGTATCTGTTATCTGATATAATACAATTATGTGGGGGTGGATATCATGAATATTTCTTTTTTCCAGATAAGAAAACTGAGGGAGGGTGTGTGTGACCTCCCCAAGGTCACAGCTGGACACTGGCAGAGTCAGGATTCAAACCCAAGCTGTCTGACTGCAAAGCCTGTGCTCTTCTTCCATGGGATTTTGCTGCACAGACTACTAAAACACCAAGAGCTTTTGGGGTCTGTCTGGGGTGTCTTTAGCTGGAATTGGGGTATCTCTGTTCGAGAGTCTGTCTAGGGTATCTTTGGCTGGGGTGTCTTTGTTCTTTGAATTAGACCAGTTCTGCATGGTAATGAAGCATGCTAATCAGAAAGCCTGACTGAATGCTTGTCTTTCATAAACACAAAATATGAAAGCAGATTCATTAATATAAGCAATGCATTTGGAACAAATCAGACCTTACAATCTGAGGGTGGAAAAAAAGGCTGAAGGCCACTGGTCCAAACATCTCATTTTACAGGTGGGGAAACTGACGCCCAGAGAGGAAGAAGGGATTCGCCCAGGTTGTCAGGGAGTGGCAGAGCCCAGGGGAAAGCTGGGATTCCAAGATCCAGGGCTGAGTTCCCCACTGTACCACGCTGTCTTCACATGGAAGGTCTCCTTCCTCAGCCACCTGGAAGCCCTTTGTCTTGAACCAGCCCCCTTCCTCCCACTAGCCTGTCCCAAGGACTAGAGAGGAGGGGGCCAGGAGACCCAACTCATTTCCCATAAGGGTCCCAAGGCCACCATCCGGTCCTGGGCCAGGAATTCCTTTCAGAGACTGAATTATACCGGGCCAAAAATAATTCCAAACCCTTGGAGGCTTCCACGAGTCCCCCCATCCCTGCTCCATCCTGGTCTAGCTGGCCAGGCCTCCCCACAGCTCCTCCCTGGGTGTTCCTGGGCTCCCCAGACTTCCCTGCCCAGCGCCCACCTGCACTCACACGTGTGTGGCGGGAGAGGGACATTTAAACAAACTGCCCACACCCTGGCCTGCTTTTCCCAGCCCTTCCAGATGGGCAGGAGAAAGGGCGACAGCGACGGTGCTAAATCCACCATCCCTGGGACCCAACCCAGGAAAGCCACCAAGAAATAGCAAGAGACACGGAAACAAAGAGACACAGAGTGTGTCCCAGACAAAGAGAAAAAAAAAAGAATGTATAGATCAAGATAAAGACCCGGGGAGGGAGACGAGGGGAACAGACTTGAGCAAAAGACATAGAGAAAGAGGTGGAGGACGAGAATAGGGGACTCGCGAAAAGGAGAATTGGAAGGGAAAGTGAGAAGAAAGTAAGGAAATTAGAATGTGAGGAAATTGACTAGGGGAGGAAAAGCAGGGGGCGCGGGAGACGCTCAGCTGGCGGGAGGCGGCGTGCAGGGCGCTGGCGGCGTGGGGCGTGGGGACGCCGGGGCCGCAGGGACGCTGGGGCCGCGGGGGTCCGGGAGGTCCCGGGAGTCCCAGCGGGGGAGGTGCGGACCCTCCTCCCGGCGCCTGGCCCCGCCGCGGCGGTCCGAACAGCCACATTCCTTCGGGTTTCCCACACACTCGCTATCAAAGAGTCCCCAAAGTCCCAGCTTTTCCCGCGCCCCTCCCCCGCCAGTGGCCGGAGAAGCTATTTTTCACCCCCTCCTGGTCTTTAATCTGTTGTGGGGAAAGAAAGCGGCTTTTGT
The DNA here is from genome assembly GCF_000001405.40 of Homo sapiens. Lineage (NCBI taxonomy): Eukaryota > Metazoa > Chordata > Mammalia > Primates > Hominidae > Homo > Homo sapiens. The sequence goes on along the minus strand of NW_014040926.1, from coordinate 338,223 downwards.
TGGACGAGGGGCTGCGCGGGGGGCGGAGAGGGGGCGCCGGCGATTGTGTGTCCCGCAGCTGCGCGTCCGGGACCGCCGGGGGTTGGGGCCGCCGGGCGCGGGGCGCGGGCGGGGAGGGCCGGGTAGGGCCAGGGTGGGGCCGCCGGGGCGCGGGCAGGGAGGGCCGCGGAAGGTCGGGCAGGGCCAGAGAGGGGGCAGTCAGGGCGCGGGGTGCAGGAGGGGAGGGTCGCGGTGGGTGAGGGAGTGGAGGAAAAGGCCACCTGGGCGCTCGAGCCTATTGTCCTCTTGGCCCTGTTCCGCACCTGGCTAGGAGATTGGGGGAAGATGGACATACACTGAAGCACGCACATAGAAAGCCGCACACCCAGGGAAGATCCTATACTAGACCCGGGGACACATCACACACAGCAGGCTGAAACACCCAGGGAGGAAGACACATAGGCGCACCCCGCGCACAGCCCCCAAGGACAGCCCCACACTCAGACAAGGGTGGACAGCATATTCTCAGGTAGGAATACACTCAGAAACTGAGGTCGGGCGCGGTGGCTCACGCCTGTGATCCCAGCACTTTTGGGAGGCTGAGGCGGGCGGATCACTTGAGGTCAGGAGTTTGAGACCAGCCTGGCCAACATGGCGAAACACCGTCTTTACAAAAAATATAAAAATTAGCTGGGCGTGGTGGCGCACGCCTGTAATCCCAGCTACTCAGGAGGCTGAGGTAGGAGAATCCCTTGAATCCGGAAGTTGGAGTCTGCAGTGAGCCAATATTGCGCCACTAAAGTCCAGCCTGGGCAGCAGAGTGGGACTTCCTCTCAAAAAAAGAAAGAAACTGAGACACACACACACACACACACACACACACACACACACTGCCTGACACCATAAAGTTCTGTGAAACAAAATCCATGTCAAATACATACTTCCTTTTTTTGAGACGGAGTCACTCTGTCACCCAGGCTGGAGTGCAGTGGCATGATCTCGGCTCACTGCAACCTCCACTGCCGAGGTTCAAGCGATTCTCCTGCCTCAGTCTACTGAGTAGCTAGGATTTTAGGCATGAGCCACCACGTCCAGCGAACTTATGTTGTTGTTGTTGTTGTTTTGAGACAGAGTCTCGCTCTGTCGCCCAGGCTGGAGTTCAGTGGCTTGCGATCTCGGCTCACTGCAAGCTCCGCCTCCTGGGTTCACACCATTCTCCTGCCTCAGCCTCCCGAGTAGCTGGGACTACAGGCGCCCAGCACCACACACGGCTAATTTTTTGTATTTTTAGTAGAGACGGGGTTTCACAGCGTTAGCCTGGATGGTCTCGATCTCCTGACCTCATGATCCACCCACCTCAGCCTCCCAAAGTGCTGCGATTAGAGGCGTGAGCCACCGCGCCCAGCCGAACTTACGTATTTTTAGTACAGATGGGGTTTCACCATGTTGGCCAGGCTGGTCTCAAACTCCTGACCTCAGGTGATCCGCCCACCTCGGCCTCCCAAAGTGCTAGGATTACAGGTCTGAGCCACCATGCCCAGCCCCCAGTTTCTTATTAAGACAGTTCCCATTCTCCAGCATTTGATTCCTTTCTCCCGCCAATTGGTGGCCTGGCTCATGCTGCAAACCATAAACTCTGGACTCTGTTCTGCCTCCCAGTTGCTGTGTGACCTTGGGCAAGTCACTTCACCTCTCTGAGCCTCAACTGATATGAGAATTGAGGGCGATAATACATGTAAAATGTCTGGTTCATGACTGGCACTTTGCAAAAGATCCTCCTAAGCCTGCTGATGCTTGGGCCACTTGATTACACTCAGGGATAGCTGTGGCCAGCAGGAGGCTCTCTCTGAGCTGCGCCCCTACCTCTGCTTTCTGGCACCCCCGTATCTCTAGCTCACTGCAGAGCTCTGGCCCGGTTAGGGTCAGGGAAGCCCTTTCCTCTCAGGCAGGGTCAGCTCGGTCCCCAGGCCACATCCCTCCCTTCCCGACCTCTCTACTCTCTCAGCCATTGAACTACTGCTGAGACCTAGGCCAACACATTTGGGCAGGTGAATATTGCTTTTCAAGGCCTTTTTTGGACTTCATCTTTTCTTACCTTGGACCCCATCATTCTAAGGCCTTTCCTGAACCCTGATTAGTGGGGTCCCAAATCCAACCATCAGCATCTGTCTACAGCAAAGAACATTATGCCTGGGAGTCATAGAATCAGTCATCCAGCACAGCCTGCATTTGAGTCTCAAATCCCCCCTCTAAGTTGTCTCCCAAAAGCAATTAATGGGGTGGAACTTAATTCAGTACAACTTTATTAAGTGCCTACTTGGTGCCAGGCACCGTGAAGGATACTGACTCCAGGGAGACAAATAAGACTTGATTACGAAGCAGGTGAGCTGTGTGCCCCACAAGGTTGCGGGGAATGTTCAATGAAACTGAATGAAATTGCTTTGGAAGTAGTGAAACTCTGCATTATGAGTTCATAATTCTTTTTCTTTTGCTGTTTGTTAAGTCTGAGTTAAATTCCTACATAACCTACTGATGCTCTCCAAAGTCTAGAAGTTTCAAACTTTTCCCTTAACAGAGAAATGAGGCAAAGGCTGTCTCTGTACTCATTAGCCTAGAAGTGCAAGGATGAGGGAACCAGTCCTTTTGTGTCTGGACACTGAGCAGCTTGAAGATCTCTGTCTTTGTGTGTATCAGTGTTTGAGCCATAGGCCTGGATTCAAATTCTGATTGTTTTCTCCTTTTCCCCGTCAGCTGTGTGGATAAATCTCTTTGAACTTCAGTTTTTGTTTTGTTTCGTTTTTTTGGTTTTTGTTTTTTGTTTTTTTGAGACGGAGTCTCGCTCTGTTGCCCAGGCTGGAGTGCAGCGGTGTGATCTCGGCTCACTGCAACCTCCGCCTCCTGGGTTCAAGCGATTCTCCTGCCTCAGCCTCCTGAGTAGCTGGGATTACAGGCACCCGCCACCACACCCGGCTAAATTTTGTATTTTTAGTAGAGATGGGGTTTCATCATGTTGGCCGGGCTGGTTCCAAACTCCTGACCTCAGGTGATCCGCCCACCTCAGCCTCCCAAAGGGCTGGGATTACGGATGTGAGCCACCATGCCCAGCTGAATTTCAGTATTTTTGTGGAGAAAATGATCATGATAATACCTACCCAAAAAAACTCGAGGGCCAATTATTAAAATAAAATTTATGAAACTTTGAACACATGACAGTTCCTCAGAAAATGAATTCCCTTCCTGCTTCCCTGTGGGTGCTCAGCCCTCAATCCCAGATGGTCCGTGGGCATTCTGTAGTTACTGCCTGCCTGCTGAAGTAAGGGGTTAATTAACTTCAGGGCGTTGTGGCTGACTGAAGCTAGGCTGACTCTGGGTTAGAAGAGGGAGCTCAACTCTAAAGCTGACTCCTAAAAACAGGAATAGTTACTGTGTACTTGCTTTAAGAATAATCTGGCCGGGCACAGTGGCTCACACCTGAAATCCCAGCACTTTGGGACGCCTAGGTGGGTGGATCACTTGAGGTCAGGAATTTGAGACCAGCCTGGAATTAGCCCGGGCGTGGTGGCTCGTGCCTGTAATCCCAGCTACTCCAGAGGCTGAGGCAGGAGAATAGCTTAGAACCCAGGAGGCAGAGATTGCAGTGAGCCGAGATCATGCCATTGCACTCCAGCCTGGGTGACAGAGTGAAACTCTGTCTCCAAAAAAAAAAAAAAGAATAAACATCTCCTAAAACGTAAGTATGGATAGGAAGGTCTTTGAGGGAGGATTTGAGGGAGGAAAAGCTTTAGATTTCCAACAAATTCCAATGCTTTCTGAGTCTCTCTGCACAGAAAACAATGTTTTCCCCTAGTACCCCAACACTTCGGTGTCTGTCTCCCTACCTAATGGATTTACCTTTGCTTTTCCCTATCTGGTAGAATAAAACCCTCTCAAGTCCAAGCTACCTTCCCAGGAGGTCCTTTGTGAGGGCAGAAGGAGAAGCATAGGTGCAGGAGGATACAGGCTTTGGGAGACAGGCAGACCTGGGTGCAAATCTTGGACCTGCCACTTATCTAGCTATGTGACCTTGGGCAAGCACATTCACCTTTCTGAGCCACTGTCTCTCTGTCTATAAAAGGGATCAGCGGGAAAATGTGTAAGAAGGCAAACAGGACTTGGCAAACAGAACTCAATGAATGATGATGGTGGCGGTGGCGCTGAGTGCTTCTGAGTTAGAGAGTAGCCCATCCTGGAGGCCTTTGAAATCCCCACCCCTGTAAGGACTCATGCCTTAGATCCTGATGCTCCTCACATTCCTGACAACAGCCTCAGCAGGGACCACTCAACTCACTTGGTACCACCTATCCCACTCAACAGGGGCTACATCACATTACAGCACATAAAAATAACTGTTTCCCACACCATTTTCCATCCCTTGTCCCCTTTGACTCTCCCAGCTGTGAGGTAGATGGATGGTATTTTCCTCCCAATTTAATAGAAGAGACAGCTGAGACAGAGTGAAGGTAGGAGAAGTCAGGGCAAGGATTGAGCCTGGTCTTGATTCTGAATCCCCTGTGCTTTCCTTGTATCACCTGAATCTCAAGCAATACTTTGGGCTCCAGACTCTCTGAGGGGAGGAGAAGGAGAAGGGATGTTCTATGTGTGTGACTGCAAAGTCCTCACCACACCTTCTAGGCACTTATGAGCAAGGAGATACATATTATGAAATGTGGCATTTGGGAATGTTCTAAGACCACCCTAATGCTATTAAGAGTGCCGGGCGCGGTGGCTCACACCTGTAATCCCAGCACTTTGGGAGACCAAGTCGGGCGGATCATGAGGTCAGGAGTTCGAGACCAGCCTGACCAATATGGTGAAACCCTGTCTCTACTAAAAATACAAAAATTAGCCGGGTGTGGTGGCGTGCGCCTGTAGTCCCAGCTACTCAGGAGACTGAGACAGAAGAATCGTTTGAACCCAGGAGGTGGAGGTTGCGGTGAGCCGAGATCACAACACTGCACTCCACCCTGGGCGACGGAGTGAGACTCCATCCCAAAAAAAAAAAAGAGAGAGAGGGCAGAGTGGACAGAGAGTCAAATGAGAGGAGGTCTGGGTTCTGGCCATAGGCCAGCTACTGACATCCCAAGTAAACGTGAGCAAGTTTCTGAGGTCCCCATGATCCCCATGTCTGGGACATAAATGGGAAAAAGATGATAGATAGATAATAAATAGAGGCTCAGCTTAGACAAAAAGGCATCTGCAATCCTTGTCATCATTACTTTGACTTTGAAATCAACAATTTAGAGAGCCCACTACCACGAAATTAAAAAATTCTAAAATTTTTTAAAAAACAAAACAGTATAACTTAAAGAGTTCTGCCAACTTCTCAAAAAAAAAAAAATCAGAGAGCACAACATTGAATTTTTTTTTCTTTTTTTTATTTTGGCAGAGGAAGATTGAGTTCCTGGAAATGCTTACAAAATGATTCCTGACACTGGGAGGAGATAGTTAGAAAAAAGAAGAAGAAAAATTATACACATATATAGATAAAGGAAGAAGGTGGAAAGAAAGGGAATAGACAAAAGAAAATAAAGAACTAAAAGAGAAAGAAAAAAAAAGACTTTAAAGGGCCCCAATTGAAGCAACATTATCAAGTTCTCAGCATCTGCAATTCACAAGCCGCTCGCGGTTGGGGCGATGCAGACCCCGCCCCTTTCTCGGGTGTCCGGCGCTCATTGGTGGGGGAGGCAGTCGCCGGCCGGTGACTGCCCGAGGAAAGGTTGCCTGGGACACGCATCCCTGTGTGAACGCATGACGTCCCACCCTGGCGCCAGGCTGTCTGGGGCTGAGTCTTAGATCAACACAGCTGTGGGACCGGGACCCACAGCTGGGCAAAGGAGCGGATTCCTCAACAAAAAATAGGATTGTGAGAAAAGTTCTGAAACAAAAACAGCGCAGACAAAAGCCTTAATGACATCCTTTCATAAAAATAAAAAATGCAAGAGGGGGGAAAAAGCTGGTAAAAGGAGCAGAACTGGGAACAGAAAGTTCAGAGGCATTTGGAATAAGAGGCTGAGGCCCCACCACTGCTAAACAAGTTGCAGAAGGCCTGAGCTAGCCTGTCCAGTCTGCTGTGGGGAAAAAGAAGTCTCTTGGGTTTAAACACTATTCAGTGTTCCTAACCATAACCTGCTTCTTTCAGAATTAGAATCTTAGGCTAGAGAGGACCATTAAAGGGCACTTGCTTCCTCCCAACCTACCCACTATCTTTTTTTTTTTTTTTTTTTTAAAGAGAAAATGAAGCCCAGGAAGGGAGGAAATTCGTCCAAGGGCACACTGCAAATTATTGGCATGCACAGAACAGAATTTTGCTTGCTAATTCCACAGCATCCTTCTGCCTTATGTCACACAGCCCATGGGCATTTCAGCCTGGAAGCATCCTGGGAAATAATAAATGCGAAGGTGCTTTGCAAACCTAAATCACTATACAAGCCTGAGGCATCAGCTGCAGTAGTAGAGGAAGGAAAAGAAGGGAGGAGAATCTGGGTAGACTGAGCACCTTCCACACAACTGGCCCATGCTGGGTCCCCCAGGCAGTAAGAAGACTAAGATCAGATGGAGTGAACACATCAAGTGCTTTGCAGAGAAGAGGCATTCAATAATTATCGAATGAATGAATGAGTAGACCCAATTAGTTCCATTTTATAGATGGGAAAATAGAAGCACCCAGGATAACTCAGCCAAAGTCTACACAATTAGTTTAAACAAAAAAAGAAGAAGAAGAAGAAGAATGGGCATTTGCACAGAAATCTGCCTGGCCCGTGATTTTTCTAGAACCCTCTGGACTTGACCGTTTTGCCACAGAAGTCTGCAAGATAGGAAAAGAAGGATCTTCTCTTCGGTTATTCAGGAGTTCCTACAGCCATTATTTTGCCTTTCCTGACCAAATAGCTGGCACTTGACGGCTGTAGCATGTAAAGACTGACTTGCCCACTCACAGGTTTTCTTCCTCTTTTCTTACTGAAGAGCCTGTCCTTGAAAAAAACATTCCAGGAAGAAATCTTTCTTGGGCCACAGAGCCCTGTGGTTTGATGGAAAAGAACGAGGCTTCAAGACTGGCTCTGCTATTACTTGTAGTGTGACATTGGGCATGTCTTAAATGCCTTCCTTGGGCCCCTCAGCATCTTTCACCTACATATCCAAATTTCACACAACCTTGGACTTCTACAATTGGAAAGGATTTTAAATAATCACTTAGTACCATCGTCTATTTTACTCACAAGGCAATTAAAGCCAGAGTACCTGGGCTTGTTCAAGATTACATGACAAATTATTGTCAGGGCTAGCATGATGAACCCAGGGCTCTCAATTCCCAGTCAGTGTCCTTTTCAACCGTTTTGCGACTCTCTTTGGCTCTGAGCCCCCCTTGTCCTGTTAATCAGTGCCACACATTATCGAACTCTTGTTTCCTGTGTTAATCTTGTCTCCCCAAATTGTGAGATTCTTGAAAGCAGGAGCCACTGTTTTATGCGGAGGGACTCCATAAATATTCACCAATGATTCATTAGGAAAGCAACTATTGGGGGAATCCCACTTGGTCATTTCCAAAATGGAAAGCAGCATCTTGGAAGTGCAGGTCCCCAAATGTCTAGGGAGGTGACAAGAAGGCAAGCAAAGAATCAAAGAATACTGAGCACAGTGTCCTGTTGCAATACAGGACTTAGTTTGCCGGCCCTCTGGTTCCTTTCCTGGTCTTTCAGATGGAGCTGGAGCTACTTCAGCAGGGCTAAGAATAATCAAGTCCAGGTGGCCTGCCCTTCCATAGCAGAAAGGGACAGACAATAGAGCAATGAAATTACCACTGTTTTCTACACAGAGGTGTGTGGAAAGTGAAGAGAGGGGAAGTTAAGAAATTTGCTGACCCAATTGGGTGGGGGGGGGCTCTTAAAAAGGTTTATGTAGAAATTGTCCCATCTGTGCCTCCATATTTAAAACCTTGTCCAAAATTCTAATTGAACTCACAAAGCACAACTGTGCATATATTTAGTTCGTTATGGAGTTTATGGGGCAGAGGGTCCAGGCTCCTTTTTTCCCCATGCAAAAAGCATGGGCTCAAGCTTTCTTCTTTTCCCCTGTTGCTCAAATAAATAGTGTTCTTTGCTCAAACCCCCTTTCCCTCCTCCTTCTGCAATCTCAGCGCCTAGCGCAAATCTGTTTTCTTCATTGTAACCTCAGCTTCACCGCAATTAATTTTTTTTCCCTCTGGTCACAAGATAATTCCTGACGCCAGTGAGTCTGGAGGTCAGACGAACAGCAAATTGGGGAACAAGGCGGCACTAATTCCTTACAAGTTTCCCTTGAAAAATCTTTCGCTTAAAAAAAACGGGGGGTGGGGGGAGCTTCTTTGCTGTTCAGGGATTTATGACCTCGGAGGAGCTGTGGCTCGAACCAGTGTTGGGCTAAAGGCGGACTGGCAGGGGGCAGGGAAGCTCAAAGATCTGGGGTGCTGCCAGGAAAAAGCAAATTCTGGAAGTTAATGGTTTTGAGTGATTTTTAAATCCTTGCTGGCGGAGAGGCCCGCCTCTCCCCGGTATCAGCGCTTCCTCATTCTTTGAATCCGCGGCTCCGCGGTCTTCGGCGTCAGACCAGCCGGAGGAAGCCTGTTTGCAATTTAAGCGGGCTGTGAACGCCCAGGGCCGGCGGGGGCAGGGCCGAGGCGGGCCATTTTGAATAAAGAGGCGTGCCTTCCAGGCAGGCTCTATAAGTGACCGCCGCGGCGAGCGTGCGCGCGTTGCAGGTCACTGTAGCGGGACTTCTTTTGGTTTTCTTTCTCTTTGGGGCACCTCTGGACTCACTCCCCAGCATGAAGGCGCTGAGCCCGGTGCGCGGCTGCTACGAGGCGGTGTGCTGCCTGTCGGAACGCAGTCTGGCCATCGCCCGGGGCCGAGGGAAGGGCCCGGCAGCTGAGGAGCCGCTGAGCTTGCTGGACGACATGAACCACTGCTACTCCCGCCTGCGGGAACTGGTACCCGGAGTCCCGAGAGGCACTCAGCTTAGCCAGGTGGAAATCCTACAGCGCGTCATCGACTACATTCTCGACCTGCAGGTAGTCCTGGCCGAGCCAGCCCCTGGACCCCCTGATGGCCCCCACCTTCCCATCCAGGTAAGCCTCGAAGTCGGGACAGGGCTGAACACCCAGGCAAGGATGCTGCGGGACCCTCGGAGCTCCCGATTGCCTCGCGTAACTCTTCCCTCTTTTCCTCTAATCAGACAGCCGAGCTCACTCCGGAACTTGTCATCTCCAACGACAAAAGGAGCTTTTGCCACTGACTCGGCCGTGTCCTGACACCTCCAGGTGAGTATCTCCTCTCTTGGAGAGGGAGGTTTAAACGGCAAGTCCTGGAGTTGGCAGACGTTTTGAAAAATTGCCACTCACTCGGTTTAGGGAAACTGAGGCCAGAGAGGGACAAGTGACTTGCCCATGGTTGCATCAAATGAATGGCAGAGTCAGTTTCCATGTGATGTGCATTTAAGCCTTAAATGCGCCTGGGCCCTGCCCTCCCGCAGTGGCCGAGGGTCTGGCAAAGTAGACATGGGTCCGACTAAATACAAGTCTTTCTGTTCCATGTTGTATAGGGAGCTGTCTTCGGCAGCCCCCTCCCAGCTAGTGTCAATTCCAAGTAGGAGGGGTAGCGCAAGCTCCGCCTGTGGTCTTTGGCGCCAACTGGGTGGGGGCAGCGTGGGGCGCGGAGTTATCAGCTGGAGGTACAGACCAAGTTTCCTCCCTGGCGCCGGCCAGTCTGCGGACGGCCCCCGCCTCGGCACGCTCGGCGGAAACTGACTGCTCCTTGGTCTTCTTTCCTCCCCCGCCCAGAACGCAGGTGCTGGCGCCCGTTCTGCCTGGGACCCCGGGAACCTCTCCTGCCGGAAGCCGGACGGCAGGGATGGGCCCCAACTTCGCCCTGCCCACTTGACTTCACCAAATCCCTTCCTGGAGACTAAACCTGGTGCTCAGGAGCGAAGGACTGTGAACTTGTGGCCTGAAGAGCCAGAGCTAGCTCTGGCCACCAGCTGGGCGACGTCACCCTGCTCCCACCCCACCCCCAAGTTCTAAGGTCTCTTCAGAGCGTGGAGGTGTGGAAGGAGTGGCTGCTCTCCAAACTATGCCAAGGCGGCGGCAGAGCTGGTCTTCTGGTCTCCTTGGAGAAAGGTTCTGTTGCCCTGATTTATGAACTCTATAATAGAGTATATAGGTTTTGTACCTTTTTTACAGGAAGGTGACTTTCTGTAACAATGCGATGTATATTAAACTTTTTATAAAAGTTAACATTTTGCATAATAAACGATTTTTAAACACTTGTGTATATGATGACACCCGTCTCCATTAAGTACTAATGATGCTTTCTCGCACATGGCCGAATTTTGGGAGCTTTGGGAAAGTGAACTTGCTTATTCTACGAGAGGGAAATGAAAAACTGCCTGGTTGAGAGGGGATGGGGTGGAGAGAGAAGGGTTCATGATGGGAGTCTCATGTCCATTGAGGGATGGGTGCAGAGAAAAGTTCTGGGCTCTGCTCATTATTTCAGAGATGAAACCAGAGACTGGTGCAAGCTTGCCCAGCAAGTTGGTGGCTCAGGCAACTTGAAAGTTGGTGGCTCAGGCAACTTGAAAACTGAGTTTTCATGTCCCTTGAGATCTAGCAGTAGCTTTCCTCTTTATTGTTACTATTGACTATGCCTTTCTAGCAGGGGATGTGGTAAGAGGAGAGCCTCAAGTTTGCTTCACCTGGTGCCCAGGCATGGGTGGTGGTTGATAGACCAATTCCAAAAATGAATAAACTGATAACTGGGCCTGGTTTCATTTCCTTCTTGCTCTCTGGGCTGGCTTCCTTGCGGGCTTCCAAAGTTGGAAAAAAGAGGGAGGTCTCCTGAAATGGATAAAGATTTGGATGCTGGTTGGGAAGTACTGATAGTAATCCCTTCTTTAATGCTAGGTGGTTGTGGAGTCCGACCCTGAACAAGGAATGTGAGGCAGAGACTCCACAGTCCTCATTTCTGCTGGTATTTCTACATCACCTCCATTGGGAACCTATTCTGTAAGCATCCCTATCCCTATTTCAGAAATGGGGAAAGGGAACCTCTGTGGGTAATGCTTCTGAACCAGGTTTTCACAGCCTTTGAGAGGTAGAGATGGGATTTGAACCGTGACTTGATTGTGGTGAACAGGAGCAGGGCTGGGGACTGGCCATTCCTTGAGGCCAGGCCTGGCAGTGGGGCAGAGAGCAAGATCCCAACCCATGCCTTCCCCCACACCCCTGGTGGCTCCCCAGGTGGGCTTCACCAGGTGCCTGGCCTTACTAGAGATTCCTGTTTATGGTATGATCTCATCTGTGTGTTGGTCCCTGGCATGAATTACTTCAATATTTCATAACAAACAGGTCACGTCATCACCTTTAGTGCCTTAACCCTGGTGAGCTTGCTGGGGTGAACAGGGGCATGGGGGAGGAGGAGAACCTCTGGCATTGCCAACCAAACTCCCAGCCTGATCAGTGGTTCTTAACCTGTTCTGTGTCCTGGTCACTCTGATCTGAAGGAAGATATGAACACTCTCTTAAAAAAATACACACACAGTGCAGAGCAATAGCAGACTTCAATCCTCATGTGAGGAACCCTTGCCCCAAACCACCTACAAGGCCTGGGTTGGGTCTATCTTGGATTGTTTTTTAGGTGTGCTGTGCTGGCTTTAGAGACGACCATAAAGGGACATAAATCCCTGCTCTGTCACCTCTTACCTGTATAACTTCAGGCTAGGGACTTTGCCTCTCTTGAGCCCCAGTTTCTGCATCTGTAAAGGAAGCTGATTCTAAGGCAGCGGTTCTGAGGTCCTAGGCCCCACATTACACCATGAACTGCAGTAGAGCCAGGCATTGAGCTCAACGTCTTATACCCTTTTCTGCCACAGCATGTTGCCTCCCGTTTGCTCGGAAGTTTCAGTACCGTGGAAGGCTAAAAAGGGCTGCGGTGGTCATCTGCCGAGTGACCTTGAGCAAGCATTCCACCTCTCTGAGCCATGCTCCTTCTGTGCCCTGCTGCCTCCCAGGACAGAAGATAATGGTGGGAAAGTTCTTTGAAATGCATCACACACCTACGAGGTATTATTAAGCTAATTCCAAGGAAATTGCCTGTCAGGACTCCCAGGACTGAGTTGTTCAGGTGGCCAGGACAAAAGAAAGACCAGCATGCCAATCCATTAGTCATTAGAGAGTGAAAGCAATTTGGCCCTAGGTCAGATAACTCCCAGAGAGGATAGTGTCTTCTGTCATAATCACCTATGGAAGTGCCTGCCAGGTTCCAGACTATTTTATCTTCCATTTTTGTTCTAATCCTCACAAACCACCGTGATGGGTAACATTCCTTGGTTTATAGAAAAAAGACTCAGGCTGAATAACTTGATCACCCAGCAAGAAAGTGGCACACAGCAAGAAACAGTTCACACAGCAAGAAAGTAGCAGAGCAGAGTTTAGGAACCCCAGCTTCCTCTAGCTTCAAAGCTCATGTTCTTGCCTTCTCTTCAAATTGGCTCTTTTCCCTCGCCATTCCCAAAGCCTGGCACATGCTTGGTCCCCAGGGGGTGCTTGTCCCAGGGAGCGCTTGTGGAATGAAAGACCTAGGACTCCCCCTCATCTGTGAAAGGGGGATGTCGGTACCTCCCTTCCATGTGTGTTGTTCGGATAAACTATAAGGCGCATAAAGTATCCACGAGGCTTCCTTAACTACAAGATTCACTGCTGAGTGTCTTGTGCAAATTGTCGCATGCGATCGGATTCAGAGCTGATCGCATCGGCTGTGAAATACAGACATTTGGGAGGTGTCTTTATTTTATAAATGAACTAGCTCAGAACAGGCGAAGTAACTTGCCGGTGGCCACACGGCTTCTAAGTAACAAAGCCAGAATTCAAATTCATGTCTGTGACACCAGAAATGGTGCCCTTTTCAGAAAGCCAGTTATAGCTCTCTAGCTGTGGACGCGCCGGACAACCTTCAATTATCTGTCTTCCCGGCCTCATCACCCCTCGTGGCCACGACTCTTCCCCATGCCCCAGGCTAAACCTGAGAACCTCCTGCCGCGCTCTTTCCCGCAGCGCTGCTTCCAAGGGCTCCACTCTGCCCACTCCCAGACCTCCCCGGAGACAGCCGCTCCCCACCGGCGGCGCTGCGGCGCCCGGGCTGGGGCAGAGCCTCGGCCCACGTGGCCTGGAGCCCGGCAGGGCGGAGCCGAGCCGGCCCCGCCTCCTCCCCGCCCCGCCCCTCCCGGCGCCCCACGCTCCCCCCGCGGGCCCTGGGGGCCGCTCGCAGGTGTTCGCTGGCGCCCGGATGTCTGAGCTCTGGCTCCGCTCTGGCTCCGGCTCCCTCCGCAGCCTGCGGGCGGGGCTCGCAGCCCATCCGGAGCCTCGCGGCGCCCCCGCCGCTCCGCCAGCAGCGCGGCCTCCCGGTTCCCAGCCTCGCGGCCTGGGGGGCCCCCCACCCAGCGGAGTCGCTGACCCCACTCCTCTCCCGCTGCCCCCAGCTGCGCTCGGGCCGCTGCAGCCTCTGCGCACCCCCACCCGCTTCCTGCCCCGTCCGCGAGGCCGCCCTGGATCGCACCCGGTTCCTTCCTTCCTTCGTTCTTTCAGGCAACTCGCATTCCTCGAGCGCCTGCGACGTGCCCTGCACAGGGCCTTCCCGGCCTTCCGAGTGTGGCCCCAGGCCCGCTGGGCTCCTCCGGGAAGCCTCTGCCCTCTCGAAGTCCTTCCCCACCTCCGCCCCTCTGTTCCATGAGGTGCTTCGCTGAGAGTCGAGCAATTTAATTGTTCTCTGATTAGTTCTCCTCTTAGGGGTCAGTCAGTGGCAAGGTCACGGAGTCTCTTTGTGGCTGAGATCGGGGGTCAGAGCGTGGCCGGATTTGGGGTTTCGCCAGCCTGGGGCAGGCTTTAGGGATAAATGTGGGTAGTCAGGCTGTGGGGGTCCGTCTGTGGGCAGTGTCAAAAGCCAAGGTTAGTGAGTCCGTGTTTGGGTAGGGTCGGTGGGCAGTCGGGATCAGGGTAGTGAGACACCTTGAGACCGGGACTTTGGGGGTTGCCTTTGACAAACCAGATTAAGGAGGGAGGAGTTCTCTGAAGTCCCCTGAACTCATATTCACCTCTCGCCGTCGTTGGGGGCTGACCATAGGCGCCCCCCCGCCTCCGCCTTCTGAGCTGTGGAGCTGTGCTTCCATCGGGGGACGCCTCTCCTCACTGCTACCCTGCTTCTACTTTGTGCCCGATGCTGCAGGCAGAAGCTCTCACCCGGCCAGACTTGTCAAAGGGAGCCTGGGCTTAGAGTGAGGGTGGCCAGGGTAGGGAGGCCTTAGGCTTCCTGGGGACCCCTACCCTGAAGCCACCCAGGAAAGCAGATGTTCTTCCTTGCTGTTTAAGTCATTTGTTGTAATTCTGAAGCTTGTCAGGGATGGAAGGGCGGGCCCTTAGAGGTCACAAATGTAGCCCAGAGAGGGGCAGGAACCTGCTCAGGGACACACAGCAAGTTAGTGTTCACGTTGGGATTGGAACACCAGCCTCCCACTTTACTATCCAGGGCTCTTTTCGTGATGCTCTCCCTACCCTGAGTAAGGGTTGTTTTTCCCACTATAGAGATGGGGCAGCGGAAGCCTGGAGAGGCCGAGAGACTGCCTCTTAGCTTGAGGATCTGCAAAAATGAAGTCAGGGAAGGGTGACTTCCCAAAGCATTGTCTCTTGGCATTGCCCACCTAGCCCCCTCCCTGCCACCCTCGTTAGGAGCAAATAGAACAAGGGTGGCCAAGCATCGAGATGAGGCAGGGAGGGAGAGAACACTGTAAGAACTGCTGGGGAAAAGCTTAGCTGGGCTCTTATGGAAACATATGGAACTCATTACCCGGAGTTGAGGTGGTCGCTGGCCAGCTGGCAGTTGGTCCCTTTGGGGCTAAAAATGTGCCTTGTGTGGCAATGAGGGTACCCAAGGCACGGCAGACTCCCCAGAATAACCTCCCCACTCACCGATCCAAGTTATTTCTGAATACTGGTTTGTTTCCTATGCCTGTGCCATTTCTTTTTTTCGTCTTTTTTTTTTTTTTTAACCGAGTCTCGTACTGTCGCCCAGGCTGTAGTGCAGTGGCGCGATCTCAGCTCACTGCAACCTCCGCCTCCCTGGTTCACGCCATTCTCCTGCCTCAGCCTCCCGAGTAGCTGAGACCACAGGCACCCACCACCACGCCTGGCTATTTTTTTTGTATTTTTAGTAGAGACGGGGTTTTGCCATGTTAGCCAGGATGGTCTCGATCTCCTGACCTCGTGATCCGCCCTCCTCGGCCTCCCAAAGAGCTGGGATTACAGGCGTGAGCCACCGCGCCCGGCCTCCTATACCTATGCCATTTCTAGCATCAAAAAAAGGGTTTCAAGGCCGGGCCGGTGGCTCACACCTGTAATTCCAGCACTTTGGGAGGCCAAGGGGGGCACATCACCTGAGGGGAGGAGTTCAAGACGAGCCTGGCCAACATGATAAACCTCGTCTCTACTAAAAATACAAACATTAGCTGGACATGGTGCCACGTGCCTGTAATCCCAGCTACTGGGAAGGGAAGGTTGAGGCAGGAGAATCACTTGAACCCAGGAGGCAGAGGTTACAGTGAGCTGAGCATCTGGGCAACAGAGTGAGATTCCATCTCCAAAAAAAAAAGGGGGTTTCAAGACATGCCACTGTAGGTTATGCAGGGAAGAGATGAGAGATTCAGGACCATCAGGACAGACAACCATATTGCTCCATTCCCCACCCCACATACACCCTGACTCTCTTCATCAGGGCCAGGGGCCACCTGGTCTTACAGTGGTTCCATATCCATTGTTCATGATCCCAGCTTCCACTGAGGGTTCATCCAGGTGGGCCCCAAGGGGCCTAGATGTTAATCCCTGTCAATCACATTTTCCACTGCAGGTTCAACTCCATATACAAAGAGAACAGCAAGAAAGTGTTTCAAAAGAGGCCATTCACTAGTGGGCGGCATTTTACAGTCTATGTGGTAACGTGGACTGGTTGGGGGGTGCTTCCATTTCACCCCCCTCAGGGCTCATAGGTGTTAGGGGACCTGCTAAAGGTCACCCTGGAGTAACTGTCAGAGCCACAGTCTACAGGATGGCCTCCTTACCCAGTGCTTTGGATGTCTGCAGCTGTTTTGAAACTTCATGCAAACCGGTGGGTGCTGCAGAATTGGCCTCTTCCAGCCACAGCAGTAATCCTGTTACGTTCTCTCTGTGAGTCTGGGAAACATACAGACACTGGTTGAAACTTCAGCTTTGTCATTTACCAGCTGTGCTATCACAGGTAAGTTTTTTGTTTTCTTTTTGTTTTTTTGAGACAGGGTCTCAATCTGTTACCCATGCAGGACTGCAGTGACATGATCGCTGCTCTTACTGCAGCCCTGACCTCCCGGGCTCGAGTGATCCTTCCACCTCAGCCTTCTAAGTAATTGGGACTACAGGTGTGCGCCAGCATGCCTGGCTAATTTTTTTTTTTTGTATGTTGCTTAGGCTGGTCTGAAACTCCTGGGCTCAAGCAGTTCTCCCACATTGGCTTCCCAAAGTGCTGGGATTACAGGTCTGAACCACCGAACCGGGCCACAGGTAAGTTATTTGTCGTCTCTGAGCCTCACATGGTTGAATTGATGATTAAATTAGATGACATATGTAAAGCATCTGGTACTTGGTAGGCTCCAGATGACCCCCACCACAGAGTTTGCTGGGCTTGGTGTCAGATTCCTAGCCTTATTCCTTCTTCTTCTTTCCAGAGTGGCAATGTGGTTGGCATGACCCAGTCACAGCACCCCGGGACTCTTGTCCAGCATTGGCGCTCTATATGCAGAGCCCTTTCACTCAGCCTGGCAGCATCTGATCAGCGTCGAAGCCCAGTGGCTTGAGGAATAAATATAAACAGTGCAGAGACTAAAAGCAGAGCTCTGGTCCAGCACATCTACTCCCAAGCTCTGCCACCCTGGACAAGCTCCTTCCCCTCTCTGAGCCTCAGTCTCCTCCCTGTAATACTGTAAGAACCCTGTCCACAGTTGTGTGCCGATATACTGAATGTAAAGCACCTAAAAGCCTGCCAGGACGTGGCAGGCACTCAAGAAGCATTACTAGATTCATTTCACACATGGAGAAACTGAGTCCCAGAGTGGGAAAGTGACTCAGGCAAAGATTCCCTCACAGAACTGGGGATAAAAATCCAGATCTTCAAGCTCCCAGTCAGTGCCTAATTACTACTTTCTCATTCTTGGAATTTGTAATTATTTCATGACAAGTGTGCTTTTGGCTGCTGGAGGGACAGAGCTTCAGAGGTTGTGAGCCTCCCCTGGCTCAGCCTGACCCAGAACCAGCTCACTCATGAAACTACCCTCTCTTGAAGAGAATAGGAGTTGTGGGGAGGAAGAACATAACCCAGAGGCCAGAGAACGTGGAGGCCAGGGTTGGTGTAACTGTGTAGGTAAGAGCAGCAGCTTCGTGATCAGCCAGACCTGCATTTAAATCCTTCTCTGCCACTTCTTAGCTGTGTGACCAGCTACATGACACCACCTCCCTGAGCCTCAGGTTTTCATCTGTAAACTTTCAATGCTACCTCTCCCATAGGGTTGTTGTAGGAATTAAATAAGACAACAGAGGTAGAGTACCTGCTCCCAACTGGCAGCCCTTATAATTTCATGAAGAGGAAGCAAAAGGGGAGCCAGCTACCTTTTTTTTTTTTTTTTTGAGACAGAGCCTCTTTCTGTCACTCAGGCTGGAGGGTGGTAGTGTGATCTCGGCTTGCTGCAACCTCTGCCTCCTGGGTTCCAGCGATTCTTGTGCTTCAGCCTCCTGAATAGCTGGGATTACAGGTGGACACCACCATGCCAGGCTAATTTTTGTATTTTTAGTAGAGACGGGGTTTCACCATGTTGGCCAGGCTGGTCTTGAACTCCTGACCTCAAGTGATCCACCTGCCTCGGCCTCCCAAAGTGCTGGGATTATGGGTGTGAGCCACCGTGCCTGGCCGGAGCCAGCTACTTCTTATCCTCATTCTTGTGTATAAATCTTGTTGTAAACTTTTAAACAATTTTTTGTTTTATTTTTATTGTTTATATTTGAGACAGGGTCTCTCTCTGTCATCCAGGCTAGAATGCAGTGGCATGATCACAACTCACTGTGACCTCGGCCTTCCAGGCTCAAGTGATCCTCCCACCTCAGCCTCCCAAGTAGCTGGGACTACAGGTACCCATCATCACACCTGGCTAATTTTTATATTTTTAATGGAGACAAGGTTTTGCCATATTGCCCAGGCTGGTCTCTAACTCCTGGGCTGAAGCAATCCACTTGCCTTGGCCTCCCAAAGTGCTAGGATTACAGGTATGAGCCACCTCACCCGTCCTTGTAAACTTTTTTTTTTTTTGAGGTGGTGTCTTGCTCTGTCGTCCAGGCTGAAGTGCAGTGGCGCGATCTCGGCTCACTGCAACCTCCACCTCTGAGGTTCAAGCAATTCTCCTGCCTCAGCCTCCCAAGTAGCTGGGATTACAGGCACCCATCACCATGATTTGTATTTTTAGTAGAGATGGGGTTTTGTATTTTTAATAGAGACAGGGTTTCTCCATGTTGTCCAGGCTGGTCTTGAACTCCTGACCTCAAGTGATCCACCCACCTTGGTCTCCCAAAGTGCTGGGATTACAGGAGTATGAGCCACTGCGCCTGACCCTTGTTACAAACTTTTAATTGAACAAACAATGGATAATAGAGATGTTCTAAGATTTGTCTAATGAAATGCTTTGTGTTCCCAGGCTCTTCCACATACTAGCTGTGTGAACTTGGACAAGTGACTTAACTTCTCTTCTCCGTGTCTGCTAACAGTCCCTACACAGATGGTTGTTGTGAGGCTTAGTTACCATACAAAATTCTTAGATTAGTGCCTGGCACATAATAATAACCACAGCCCCCAAATGCTAGTTGTCATTCATTATCTTAACATACCATGTGAAGGTTGTGTTCTCTTACATTCTATAGCCCTCTGTGTTTTAATATAAAATTGTGATGTCTCTCTTTCTTTTATTTGTATTTTTTGAGTAAAACGGACATTTCAGAAAGATGTACCAGATTTTTATCACATGGCTTTGTGAGACCCGACAGCCAGCCAACATCACACACAGTCACATGTGTGCATGCATGAGCACACATGCATGCAGACACACACACTTTGAGAAGGCCATGCTACGCCGGGCTGCTTCCCAAATGGGCTGAAACAAGTCCTCTTGCCCTGAAGAACCGCCTGTCCCCTCTCCCGCCCACTCATCGCGCTCCGTGGAGTGAGGCAGGAAAGGGTGATTGGCTCACAGCAGCAGCATAGCTCTTAGTAAACCTGACTTGGGAGAAAGGCCTGGCTCCAGCTCCTAGCCCAAGTGTCAGAGCCTGGGTCCCAGCACTGGCTCGATGCCCTCTTTTGCTGTGCAACCCTGGCCATGTAACTTCACCTCTCTGAGCCCCAGCTTTGTCATTTGTGAAAGGGAGCTAACTGTTCCTACCTCTCAGGGTTATGAGGATTTGACAGACACATGGAAAGTGCCTGGCACTTCGTTGTTGCTCCATAAATGAGAGCTCTCAAAAGTCTGGCTCATTTTTTAGCTCAGTAAAAGCTATCTTTCATAGTCTTTAATAAAATGGGGCTGGCCGGGCGTGGTGGCTCACGCCTGTAATCCCAGCACTTTGGGAGGCTGAGGTGGGTGGATCACGAGGTCAGGAGATCGAGACCATCCTGGATAACATGGTGAAACCCCATCTCTACTAAAAAAAATACAAAAAAATTAGCCGGGTGTGGTGGCAGGCGCCTGTAGTCCCAGCTACTCAGGAAGCTGAAGCAGGAGAATGGCGTGAGCCCAGGAGGCGGAGATTGCAGTGAGCCAAGATCACACCACTGCACTCCAGCCTGGGCGACAGAGTGAGACTCTTGTCTCAAAAAATAATAATAATAATAAATAAAATGGGCTATGGTCTATGTGCCTTACGTAATTAATAGACTTTATTGCTTTTTGATGTATCTGTTAATCCAATAAAGGTGTTTGTCTTCTAACACTATTTTATTTCATATTTTATTCATATTTTACAATGTCTGGGCAAGTCAATGAAGCCCACTGAACCTCAGTTTCCTTATTTCTAAAATGAGAGAAAGAAAAAACCTTCCTCACAAGGTTGTTTGGAGAATTTAACGAGATGGTATATGTGTGTCCAGGAAGTAAGAGATCATTTTTTTTGCAGCCCGTTTTCTCTCACTAGGCTGAATTTCTCAAAGACAGAAGGGAGTTATTTTTATTATTATTATCATTATTTTTAAGACAGGGTCTCTCTCTGTCATCCAGGCTGTAGTGCAGTGACACCATCTCGGCTCACTGCAACCTCCACCAACAGGGCTCAGTCGATCCTCTCATGTCAGCCTCCAGAGTAGCTGGGACTACAGGGAGAGAGTTTTATTGACCTCTGTATCCCCAGCATTGAATATGTAGTAATACATTTAATAATAGCAGTGACAGTGACAACAACTTTCATTTACTTAACACTTACCATGTTCGAGGCTCTGTGCTAAGTGCCTCTTAATAGAAGGACAAGTAATAGACATGTAAACGATTTGATTTTCTCTGCTGATGATTTAAACATGAAGGAATTGTTTTACATTTCCCTTGGGGAAGTTTTGTATTCCATACTGGAGACAAAGTTTATTCTTGGGCCATGTACGTTGTTTCGCCAAATCAGTTGGATAAAAATTAGAGCAATCCTTAGTTTACTTATCTATAAAATGGGGCTAATGATTAACTTGACTCATGTAAAGGTGTCCCATAAATTGGACATAAATGACAATGGTTTTTGCTTACTCCTTCCTTTCCTCCCCACGTACACACACCCTTCCTTGGGGAAAAGGCAGTGACTAGGAAGGATTTGAAACTGAGTGGCAGAGAACTGAGTCCCTTCGCCCTTCTGGGATTCTGTTTCTCCTTGGCATAGCGTGGGAGATTTTTCTGGAATATTTTCCTGATTCTGAGACTCTCGAAGGCCTAACTTAAGTCCTGCCTCCCTCAGAAAAATCTCCCTTAATTGCCACAGCACAGAGTCTACTTACACAAATACCACATGCCCCTGTGATCACATGTTGCATATTCCAACTGGATTTAAGTCCTGGAAGATGGGGTTGTTGTGTTAGTGTTTTGATTTCTGTTTTCCCAAGCTCGCACTTTTCTTTTCTCCCCTCACCTCCCGTTCCCTCCCCTCTTTTCTTTCTGAGACAGGGTCTCAATCTGTCACCCAGGCTGGAGTGCAGTGGTGCAGTCATAGCTTACTGTAGCTTCAAACCCCTGGGCTCAAGAGATCCTCCCACCTCAGCCTCCTAAGTCTGAGACTGCAGGTGCACACCACCATACCCAGCTACTTTAAAAAAAAAAATGTGTAGAGATTGGGAGGTCTTGCTGTGTTACCCAGGCTGGTCTTGAGCTCCTGACCTTGTGATCCTCCTGCCTCAGCCTCCTACAGTGCTTGGATTACAGGTATGAGCCACTGTGCTCGGCCAAGTACTTTTCTTTTCTTTTTTTTTTTTTTTGAGACAGAGTCTTGCTCTGTCACCAGGCTAGACTGCAGTGGCGTGATCTCAGCTCACTCCAACCTCTACCTCCCAGGTTCAAGCAATTCTCCTGCCTCAGCATCCGGAGTAGCTGGGACTATAGGCACCCGCCACCACGCCCAGGAAATTTATTTATTTATTTTTTAAACGGAGTCTCTCTCTGTTGCCTAGGCTGGAGTGTAGTGGCGGAATCTCAACTCACTGCAAGCTCTGCCTCCCGGGTTCACACCATTCTCCTGCCTCAGCCTCCCGAGTAGCTGGGACTACAGGCACCTGCCACCACGCCTGGCTATTTTTTTTTGTATTTTTAGTACAGACGGGATTTCACCGTGTTAGCCAGGATGGTCTCGATCTCCTGACCTTGTGATCTGCCTGCCTTGGCCTCCCAAGGTGCTGGGATTACAGGTGTGAGCCACCACGCCTGGCCATGCCCGGTAATGTTTTTTGTATTTTTAGTTAGGGTTTCACCACATTGGCCAGGCTAGTCTCAAACTCTTGACCTCGTGATCTGCCCACCTCGGTCTCCCAAAGTGCTGGGATTACAGACATGAGCCACCGCGCCTGGCCAGGTACTTCCTTTTCTTTCGAGGCAGGGCGGGTCTCACTATGTTGCCCAAGCGGGTCTTGGATCCAGGACTCAAGGGATCCTCCCACCTCAGCCTCCTGAGTAGCTTTCATCCTTTATAAGCCTTTCAAAGTCTCCAAGTCATAGATGGAGCAGCTGAGACCCAGAAATAAGAAGGGCCTTGTCTAAGGCCACAGAGTGGGTACAGAGCCAGTCCCACATCCCAGGACCCCATCAACCCACCTGAGCTTAGGAACTCTCTGAGCATTTTCTTGGCACTAGGCTTTGTGCTTATTGCTTCCTCACACCAATTTTATAAAGTGGGTGTTGTCCCACTTTCGCGATAAGGACACGGGGACTCAGGAAGGTAAAATAACTTGCCCAAGTCACACAGCTAGCAAGGGACAGAATCATGACATGACTATCTGACTCCAAAATGCATGCTTTTTAAATACCTGGAGGCCTCTGCAGTTTGGCTGTTTTGGAGCCTCAGATTTGCTTGAGTGGCTCAGCGGACAGCCTCTCTTGAGTTGCTGTAGCAGTAGTGTTGTACCCCAAAGCAAGCAGTCGGTTACCAAGGCTGATCCCTGTGCCCAACTCCCTCTGTCCCAGCAGCTGGGGTCCAGGGGTTCACAGAGCAGGCACTCATGGTCCCTGCTCTAGAAATGATCTGCGTGGCATGCCGCCCCATCCCCAAAGCCCATTGTCTCCCCAGGAGACAATATGGAGAAAGGACCCAGCCTAGTGGGCTGCCTGTATCCATCTGTAACCATGGAAACCCCTTAGGGAGACAATTCCAAAATCCTCCTTGCCACCTCCCACCTTGCAGCTGTGGCTCCAGGAGCCCAGCCTCCAGCAGGAGAGGAATTACTGATAATTGCTGCTCCCCCAGCACTGCCACCACCAAATGGGACACAGCTGGGCCTCCCTCCACAGGGATCTCCCCCACCCTCCCAGTCCTAGAATTGGTGTTGGTAAAGGGGCCTTAGATGGGTTTTAAGGCCTAAGCTGTATTTCTTTTGCAAGAGTCAAAAGATCCTTGTAGTTCCGTACTGGTGAGATCTGTCCTTGATCCCACATTTGGGCACAGAGATAAAAGGGCCCAGCACAATTCTTAACCGTTGAATGGTCAACCAGTCACCTGGGAAGGGCTTAGGTCTTCAGTGCATGACTCCCCTCTGGCGGCCAGTTGCTGCAATTGTCAGAGAGGAACAAAAATGATGACCTCTTTTCCTGGGTATTTACTGTGATCCAGATACACACACATATTAGATCTAATCCTTACTACCTCTTGGTGAGGGGGGTGTCGTCCTACTTGCACATGCTAAAGCCAAGGTGTCCAGAGAATATCCAGAGGAAGGATGACAAAGTGGTTGAGAGGGTGTACCTGGACAGCCCTGGCTCAAAACCACCTCTACTGTCACCAGCCCTGTGGCCTTGGGTAAGTTACGTAAATGCTCAGAGTCTCAGTTTCTTCATCTATAAAATGGGGGTGATGATATTACACATCTCATGGGGATGATATGAGGATCATATGCGTGGAAGTTTATGAGCCTTCAGAAAGGTGACCCACACATAGTAAATAAAATTCAGGGCCCTGACACACAAGCTGTCCTTCAGGCATAATCATCGAACTACTCCTGGGCTCAGTTCCTTCATCTGTTCTGTGGGGCTAATGGTGGCTTCCTCATAGGGCTGTTGTGATAATTAAGCAGATCGGGCATGAATGTGCTTGCTTTGCAACTATTAGCTTTTTTTTTTTTTTTTTTAGACAGGGTTTCCCTCTGTCATCCAGGCTGGAATGCAGTGACACAATCACAGCTCATTGCAGCCATGACCTCCTGGGCTCAAGAGATCCTCCAGTCTCAGCCTCTTGAGGAGCTGTGACTACAGGCATATACCACTACGCCCAGCTAATTTTTAAATATTTTTGTAAAGACAGAGTCTCGCCAGGTAGCCTAGACTGGCCTTGAACTCCTGGACTCAAGCCATCCTCCCGCCTTGGCCTCTCAAAGTGCAGGGATTATAGGAGTGAGCCACTGTGCCCGACTTCTTAGCATCACTTTTGATCTGCTTGTTTGGGGAGGAATAATCACAGGGGTGGGGCAGTGTATAGGGCAGGGCGTGGGGGAGAGCAGTGGGCGGGGAGGTGGGTTAGAAAGTGAATTATAGGCTAGGTATGGTGGCTCACTCTTGTAATCCCAGCATTTTGGGAGGCTGAGGTGGGAGGATTGCTTGAATATAGGAGTTCAAGACCAGCCTGGGCAACATAGCAAGACTCTTATCTCTAAAAAAAGAGAAATAAAGGAAAGAGAGAGAATAGGGAGAGATGGAGGGGAGGGAGTGGGAGGAAAAAAGTGAGTTGTGCCTCTCTTCATGAGCCTGGAGGAGGTACGTGAGAATTCTGGCTCCTGTGACTACCTCTTTGGCCTCATAAGGCCCCCAACTCACCATTTCCCCCCAAGCAGAGTTACAGAGGGACTCTGACAGTGGCCAGAGACTTTCTTGGAAAGTCTCTTGGAAGGGGATTGTGAGTGATCTTGCACCTATTCCAAAAAACCTTTCATTGGCCAGGCCGCATGGCTCACGCCTGTAATCCCAGCACTTTGGAAGGCCGAGGCAGGCGGATCACCTGAGGTCAGGAGTTGGAGACCAGCCTGGCCAATGTGGTGAAACTGTCTCTACTAAAAATACAAATTAGCCAGGCGCAGTGGCTCATGCCTGTAATCCCAGCACTTTGGGAGGCCGAGGTGGGCAGATCACCTGAGATTGGGAGTTTGAGACCAGCCTGACCAACATGGAGAAACCCCATCTCTACTAAAAATACAAAATTAGCCAGGTGTGGTGGTGCGTGACTGTAATCCCAGCTACTCGGGAGGCTGCAGCAGGAGAATCACTTGAACCTGTGGGAGGCGGAGGTTGCAGTGAGCCAAGATTGGGCCACTGCATTCCAGTGGGCGACAGAGCAAGACTCCATCTCAAAACAAACAAACAAACCTTTTGTTGAGTTTAGTTCAATAAGCAATTCTTGTGCTTGTACTCTGCAGTGGGTACTATGCTGGATATTGGGGTGTGAAAATTAAAAAGACAAGGAGAAGCTTAAATCTGGGGGTGGGGTGGGGAGGAAGAACATTAAAACAACTGTAATTACAATTGCAAAACGATTATAGAGGGCCGGTGTGGTTGCTCACCCCTGTGATCCCAGCGCCTTGGGAGGCCAAGGCAGATCACTTGATTCCAGTTCAAGACCAGTCTGGGCAACATGGTGAAACCCCTTCTCTACAAAAACAAACAAACGGGCCGGGCGCGGTGTCTCACGCCTGTAATCCCAGCACTTTGGGAGGCTGAGGCGGGCAGATCACGAGTCAGGAGATCGAGACCATCCTGGCTAACACGGTGAAACCCCGTCTCTACTAAAAATACAAAAAATTAGCTGGGCATGGTGGCGGGCACCTGTAGTTCCAGCTACTCGGGAGGCTGAGGCAGGAGAATGGCGTGAACCTGGGAGGCGGAGCTTGCAGTGAGCTGAGATCGCGCCACTGAACTCAAGCCTGGGTGACAGAGCAAGACTCCGCCTCAAACAAACATACAAACAAAAACAATGATAGATTGAGATTCCTAACAAGAGGTGGGGTGCAGGGCTCAGGGTCAGCTTCCAAAAGATGGCTGGCATAATCTACCACCACCCCAACTGTGGCCAACACCAAAACCACCTCGATTTCAAAACTGAATGTCTTGCTTATTTCAAAAGAGATCTGGGCTGGGTGTGGTGGCTCACGCCTGTAATCTCAGCATGTTGGGAGGTTGAGGCAGGTGGATCACTTAAGGTCAGGAGTTCAAGACCAGCCTGGCCAACATGGTGAAACCCTGTTTCTACTAAAAAGAAAGAAAAAAAAAAAACCACAAAAATTAGCTGGGCGTGGCGGTGGATGCCTGTAGTCCCAGCTACTCGGGAGGCTGAAGCACGAGAATTGCTTGAACCCAGCAGGTGGAGGTTGCAGTGAGCCAAGATCACTCCACTGCATTCCAGCCTGGGGGACAGAGCGAGACCCTGTCTCAAAAAAAAAAAAAAAAAAAAGTTCTGGCCGGGCACGGTGGCTCACGCCTGTAATCCCAGCACTTCAGGAGGCCGAGGCGGGTGGATCATTTGAGGTCAGGAGTTCGAGACCAGCCTGGCTAACACGGTGAAACCCCGTCACTACTAAAAAATACAAAAAAAAAAAATTAGCCAGGCGTGGTGGCAGGCACCTGTAGTCCCAGCTACTCGGGAGGCTGAGGCAGGAGAATGGCGTGAACCCGGGAGGCAGAGCTTGCATCGAGCTGGGATTGCGCCACTGCACTCCAGCCTGGGCTGCAGAGTGAGACTCCATCTCAAAAAAAAAAAAGAGTTCTGAGTCATTTTTCAATGTTAGCAATTGAGCTGGCTTCATTTTTTTTTTTTTTTTTTTGAGACAGAGTCTCGCTCTGTCGCCCAGGCTGGAGTGCAGTGGCACGATCTCGGCTCACTGCAAGCTCCGCCTCCCGGGTTCACGCCATTCTCCTGCCTCAGCCTCCTGAGTAGTTGGGACTACATGCGCCCGCTACCACGCCCAGCTAATTTTTTGTAATTTTAGTAGAGACGGGGTTTCACCATGTTAGCCAGGATGGTCTCCATCTCCTGACCTCGTGATCCGCCCGCCTTGGCCTCCCAAAGTGCTAGGATTACAGGCATGTGAGCTGGATTCCTAATTTTGTCCCAGGTTTCTGTTCTCTTAGCCTGAGGAGTTAAAAATGCACCCTTTTAAAATTGAGTGCTGTTTAAGATCACGTGGGGGATATGGGGGTACACAGCATTCTCAATGATTTATTTATCTGGTTTAAGAAAGAAAAGAAGGAAGAAACTTCTATCTGAGAGCAGAACAGTTTTTTCTGGTGGAAGAGATGGAGAGAGACATGTGAAGCAGGGAGAACAGCATGGGCAATAGAGAGAGCTGAGAGGTCAGAGGGGAGTTAGGAAGAGTGTGTTGGATTAGAACGTAAGGGGGCCGGGTGCAGTGGCTCACACCTGTAATCCTAGCACTTTGAGAGGCCAAGGCAGGTGGATCATTTGAGGTCAGGAGTTCGAGACCAGCCTGGCCAACATGGTAAAAACTCGTCTCTACTAAGAATATAAAATTAGCTGGGCAGTAGTGGTGCGTGCCTGTAATCCCAGCTACTTGGGAGGCTGAGGCAGGAGAATCGCTTGAGCCTGGGAGGCAGAGGTTGCAATAAGCAGAGACTGTGCCACTGCACTTCAGCCAGGGTGAGAGGGTGAGAGCCTGTCTCAAAAAAAAAAAAAAAAAAAAAAAAAAACCTAAGGCCCATGTGTGAAGGGTCTGAAGATCGGAGGGACCTGGTGGTGGGGGTGGCTGGGCCGTGGTGGGGAGCTAGTTGCCAGACCTTGAACTAGAGAGAGACAAGGTCAGGTGTGTGTGTTAAAGAGATCCCTCAGGAAAACGAGGGAATAAACTGACAATTACAGGAATTATAGGGGCGGATCACGAGGTCAGGAGATCGAGACCATCCTGGCTAACATGGTGAAACCCCGTCTCTACTAAAAATGCAAAAGAAATTAGCCGGGTGTGGTGGCGGGCGCCTGTAGTCCCAGCTACACGGGAGGCTGAGGCAGGAGAATGGCGTGAACCCGGGAGGCGGAGCTTGCAGTGAGCCGAGATCGCGCCACGGGACTCCAGCCTGGGCGACAGAACGAGACTCCATCTCAAAAAAAAAAAAAAAAAAAGAAGAAGAAGGAATTATAGGTGGCATTTCCCCAAGAGACGCTAAGCAGCTCTGCTGGGACCTGACTCCCGCATGGGATGTCCCTCTTCCCGCATGGGATCACCTCCACGGGACCCAACATCTGTGAAAAGCATTCCCAGGGCCTACAAACATCTGGAAAGAATCTGGCCAGTCTAGTAGCCCTGTCCTCAGCGGGGCTGCTTCTTTCACATCCTGTTTCTCCTCCCCAAGCCCATAGCGGGTGAGTTACCTTGATGAGAAGATAAGACGCCTCGCAGGCTTTGGCAGGTGCCAGAGTTCACCTCTAGGTGGCAGCCTTCACCTTTCAGCCCCACCAGCTTCCAGCCAAAGGTCTGAGAGAAGGAAAAGGAACTAACGAAGACGCAGGGGGACCCACCAGGCGCCGCAGGCACATTTACTGAGCTGCAGAGCCACCATCTCAGGCGCACGTCATTCTCTCCACGTCACAACTGAGAGACGTGAAGTCACTGGTCCAAAGTCACACAGATGGGTGGCAATTGGCTTCTCTGAGCCTCATGTTCTTCATCTGTACAGAGACTGACCCATTCCCAGCAATCACTAATCTACTTTTTTTTTTTCCTGAGACAGAGTCTTGCTCTGTCACCCAGGCTGGAGTGCAGTGGCGTGATCTCGGCTCACTGCAGCCTCTACCTCCCGGGTTCATACAATTCTCCTGCCTCAGCCTCCCAAGTAGCTGGGATTACAGGCATGCGCTACCATGCCTGGCTAATTATTGTATTTTTAGTAGAGACATGGTTTCACCATGTTGGCCAGGCTGGTCTCGAACTCTTGACCTCAAGTGATCCACCCACCTCAGCCTTCCAAGGTGCTGGGATTACAGGTGCTGGGATTGAGCCACTGTGCCTGGCCTTTTTTTTTTCCGAGGCAAAGTCTCACTCTCGCCCAGGCTGGAGTGCAGTAGCACGATCTTGGCTCACTGCAACCTCCACCTCCCGGTTCAAGCGATTCTCCTGCCTCAGCCTCCCAAAGTGCTGGGATTACAGGTGCCTGCCACCACGCCCAGCTAATTTTTGTATTTTTAGTAGGGACGGAGTTTCACCATGTTGGCCAGGCTAGTCTCAAACTCCTGACCTTAGGTGATCTGCCCACCTCAGCCTCCCAAAGGGCTGGGATTACAGGCGTGAACCACCACGCCCAGCCCCACTAATCTACTTTTTGTTTCTATAGATTTATCTATTCTAGTCTGTAATCCCAGTACTTTGGGAGGCCGAGGTGGGCGGATCACCTGAGGTCAAGAGTTCAAGACCAGCCTGGCCAACAGGGTGAAACCCCATCTCTACTAAAAATACAAAAATTAGCCAGGCGTGGTAGTGCACAACTGTAGTCCCAGCTACTTGGGAGGCTGAGGCAGGAGAATCCCTTGAACCTGGGAGGTGAAGGTTGCAGTGAGCCAAGATCATGCCACTGCACTCCAGCCTGGGTGACAGAGCAAGACTCTGTCTCAAAAAAAAAAAAAAAAAAAAAAAGATTTATCTATTCTAGACATTTCACTAAATGGGATCATACAAACATAGCCTTTTGTGTCTGGTTTCTTTCACTTAGCATAATGTCTTGAAGAGTCTTCCATGTCATAGCATGTATCAGTACCTCATTCCTTTTTATGGGGCCAGGCGTGGTGGCTCATGCCTATAATCCCAACACTTTGGGAGCCGAGGCAGGAGGATTACTTGAGCCCAGGAGTCCAAGACCAGACCACGGGATATAGTGAGACCCCCGTCACTATTAAGAAAAAAAAGGCTGGGCACGGTGGCTCACACCTGTAATCCCAGCACTTTGGGAGGCTGAGGTGGTGGATCACCATCACCTGAGGTCAGGAGTTTGAGGCCAGCCTGGCCAGCACGGTGAAACCCTGTCTCTACTAAAAATACAAAAATTCACCGGGCGTGGTGGCATGCACCTGTAGTCCCAGCTACTCGGGAGGCTGAGGCGGGAGAATGGTGTGAACCCAGGAGGCAGAGCTTGCAGTGAGCCGAGATCGCACCACTGCACTCCAGCCTGGATGACAGAGCGAGACTCCATCTCAAAAAAAAAAAAATTTTTTTTTCCTTTTTTTGGCTGAATAATATTCTATTATATAAATATACCACTTTTTTTTTGAGGCAGGGTCTTGCTCTGTCATCCAGGCTGGGATGCAGTGGCATGACTTCTGCCTCCCAGGTTCAAGCAATTCTCCCACCTCAGCCTCCCAAGTAGCTGGAACTACAGGTGCACGCCACCACACCCAGCTGATTTTTGTATTTTTTTTGTAGAGATGGGGTCTCACTGTGCTACCCAAGCTGGTCTCAAACTTCTGGGCTCAATTGATGCACCCGCCTTGGTCTCCCAAAGTGCTGGGATTACAGGCATGTGCCACTGTGCCTGGACTCCACATTTTGCTTATCCAATCATCAGTTAATGGGCATTTGGGTTGTTTCTACTTTCTGGTTATTATGGATAATGCTGCTATGAACATCTGTGTACACATTTTTGTGTGAACATATGTTTTCAATTCTCTTGGGTATATGGGAGTAGAATTGCTGAGTCATGTGGTTAACTCTGTATAACTTTTTTAAAAACTGCTGAACTATTTTCCAAAGCAGTTATACCCATTTACAATCCCACCAGCAATGAATGAGGGTTCCAATGTATGAGGGTTCTCCACATCCTGGACGACACTAGTTATTGTCTCTCTTTTCTATTATAACCATTCTAGTGGGTTAGTGAAGTGTCATCTCATTGTAGTTTTGATTTGCATTTCCCTAATGACTAATGATGTTGAGCATCTTTTCACGTGCTTATTGGCCTCTGTATATTTCCTGTTTTTTTTGAGACGGACTTTGGCTCTTGTCTCCCAGGCTGGAGTGCAATAGCACAATCTCGGCCCACTGCAACCTTTGCCTCCTGGGTTCAAGCGATTCTCCTGCATCAGCCTCCTGAGTAGCTGGTACTACAGGCGCCCGCCATCACGCCCAGCTAATTTTTGTATTTTTAGTAGAGTCAGGGTTTCACCATGTTAGCCAGGCTGGTCTCGAACGCCTGACCTCAGGTGATCCACCTGCCTCAGGCTCCCAAAGTGCTGGGATTACAAGTGTGTGAGCCACTGCGTCCGGCCTGGCCTCTGTATATTTTCTTTGAAGAGTTGTCCAACCAAATTGTTTGCCTTCTTAATAAATTTTGGTACACACACACACACACACACACACACACAGCACATTCACATCCCATCCCAGATTCACTTCAACGCAATAAACCCGAGACAGCTGTGATTAGCCCTGTTTATCAGATGAAGGAACAGAGGCCCAGAGTAATGCAATGATATGTCCAAGAGCACATAGCTTATGGAGTGCCAAGATTTAGAATTTTATGTTTTTTTCTTTATTTTTCTTTATTTTTATTTTTTTGAGACGGGTTCTCACTCTGTCTCCCAAGCTGGAGTGCAGTGGTGCAATCTTGGCTCACTGCAACCTCCGCTTCCTGGGTTCAAGCGATTCTCCTGCCTTAGCCTTCCGAGTAGCTGGAATTACAGGTGTGCACCACCACACCTAGCTAATTTTTATATTTTCAGTAGAGACAGGGTTTTTCCATGTTGGCCAGGCTGGTGTCGAACTCCTGGCCTCAACTGATCCACCCACCTCGGGCTCCCAAAGTGTTGGGATTACAGGCACGAACCACTGCACCTAGATTTTTTTTTTTTTTTTTTTTTTGAGACAGAGTCACTGTCGCCCAGGCTGGAGTGCAGTGTCGAGATCTCGGCTCACTGCAGGCTCCGCCCCTGGGTTCACGCCATTCTCCTGCCTCAGCCTCCCGAGTAGCTGGGACTACAGGCGCCTGCCATCTCGCCCGGCTAATTTTTTGTATTTTTAGTAGAGACGGGGTTTCACCGTGTTAGCCAGGATGGTCTCAATCTCCTGACCTCATGATCCGCCCGCCTCAGCCTCCCAAAGTGCTGAGATTACAGGCGTGAGCCACCGCGCCCGGCCTGCACCTAGAATTTTATGTATTTAACAAACATTCATATAGTGTTTACTACATGCCAGTCACTGTTAGAAAAGCCCACGAACCCATCTTCCAACAATGTTCCAGTAAAAAGGTTACCACTAGCAGAACTTCCTTAAAGCAATACCTTGTTTCTCTTTTTAAAAAACAACTTTTTTTTCTCCAATCACCAAAGTAATACATGTTTATTGTAGAATAGGAAAAGCACAAAGAAGATGGAGCAGGGATTTTTCTCCCTTGTTTCCCATAGCTCTGATCTGGTTTCTCTGTGATTTGGGATTCGTGTGAACAGGTGATGTGCTGAGGAGCCCGGGACAGGGAATATGTACCTTCAGGAAGTGTCTGTCAAGCAGTTTGTATTCTGATTAACAGGACTTTGAGCACAGGGAATCTGTGGAATTTTTCAGGAGAAGATACACCAGCTGGAATGGAAGTTTGCTTTAGTTTGGGGATTTTTCCAGGACTATCTGGGGTTGCCTGGAACAGGAACTTCCTCACTTACCTGCTCTGTGGCCTCAGGCAAGTCATGGCTTCCTCATCTGGAAAATAGTACTAAGCATCCCCAACTCATCCAGTTGTGGGACACAGTCTTTCCACTTCCAGCAATGTGTGCAGCACTGGAACCCCTGGTTCATTAGCAGAATGTACCCTCCTTCACATGGGGTTTTGGGGCTGAGTTCACTGTTCACAACAGCGCAGTGCCTTGGGAGAGATCTGAGTTCAGATCCTGATTTCATCTTCAAACAGTTGTCAAGTTCCTTTACATATTTCAGCTTCAATTTCTTCATCTGTCCAAAATGTACCTGTGTTACAGGGTAGTTGGGAGGTTTCGACAAAATAATGTATGTAAAATACCTAGCTGGGTGTTTACGCCTAGGAAGTTCTCAGGAAATGTGAACTATTATCATTTATTTCAGGCCTACTTTGTGCCTGGCATCTCAGGGGAGGAAGGCGCAAAAGTGAAAACAAAGCCTGGGTCCTGCCCCCAAGGAGTCTGAAGATTTGTTGATAGGTAGATTAAAGTAAAAGGGTCTTATGCACTGGAGATAGGATCAGAGACGTAAGAAAACTGCCAATTCTTGAGGCTCCTTATAAACCAGGTTCCATGCTGAAAGCTTTATATGCATTATCTATGAGATTTCTTCACAATCCTATGAGGTAAGTGCTATTAGGATTAGAAAATCAAGGATCAAAGATCAGAGAATTTAGGAAATTTTGCCTGGGTCACACAGCTAATAAAGTGTCAGGGCCTGGGTTTGAACCCTGGGATGTCTGACTTCAGATTCTTTGCTCCTTCCACTCCATTTGAGTTGGACCTTGAAGGATGAGTCAGATTTGGGCACATGGGGATGGAGGGGAGGAGGGGCCTGGAGGGGAGGCGGGGCCTGAAGAATAGGAGGATATGGAGCCAGGTAAGCAAAGCCTGGGAGATGGGAAAGTGTAGGGCGTGTACGGCAGAAACTCTGAGGGTTTTGTGTGTGTGTGTGTGTGTGTGTGTGTGTGTGTATGTGTGTGTGTGTGTTTGAGACAGGGTCTCGCTCTGTGACCCAGGCTGGAGTGCAGTGGCACGATCTTGGCTCATTGCAACCTCCACCTCCTGGGTTCAAGCGATTCTCCTGCCTCAGCCTCCCGAGTAGCTGGGATTACAAGCACACACCACCACGCCTGGCTAATTTTTTTTTTTTTTGTATTTTTAGTAGAGACAGGTTTTTGCCATGTTGACCATGCTGATCTCAAGCTCCTGGTCTCAAGTGATCCACCCACCTCGGCCTCCCAAAGTGCTGGGATTACAGGCATGAGCCACCGTGCCCGGCCTGTTTGTTTATTTTGAGACAGTCTTACTGTGTCACCCAGGCTGGAGTGCAGTGACATGATCATGGCTCACTGCAGCCTTGACCTCCCTGGGCTCAGGTGATCCTCCCACCTCAGCCTCCCGAGCAGCTGGGATTACAGGCGTGTGCCACCACGCCCAGCTAATTTTTCTGTATTTTGGAGAGACAGAGTTTTGCCATGTTGCCCAGGCTGGTCTCAAACTCCTGGGCTCAACAGATCTGTCCACCTTGGCCTCCCAAAGTGCTGGGTTCACAGGCATGAACCAATGTGCCCGGCCTGAAACTGCAAGTATTTAGTCTGGTTCCATGTGAGGGCCTCTTCGGGTCCATTTCACATAAACCTTAGCCAAAATATATTAAGTACCTACCATGCACCTGACATTTCTCTAAGGACTTTATAACCAACACCTTACTAAGGCCTCACAGTAAATGGAGAGGTCACTTGTGCCGCCTCCATTTCAAAGATGAGGAAATTGAGACTCAGAATGGTCCAGCAACCTGACCATGATCACAATGCTAGGAATGAA
The DNA here is from genome assembly GCF_000001405.40 of Homo sapiens. Taxonomy (NCBI): domain Eukaryota; kingdom Metazoa; phylum Chordata; class Mammalia; order Primates; family Hominidae; genus Homo; species Homo sapiens. The sequence continues at coordinate 303,905 of NW_014040926.1, read as the reverse complement.
TGGGGCAGGAATTCAAGCTCAGGGAGGCAGATTTCAGATCTGTGCCCCACACCTATTGCAAGAATTAGTCAGTTCCCAGGCAGTGAAACTCTAAAGCCAGCCCCAGCTGCCCGAAACTCAACCACAGAGAGCTGGCTCTCAGCCCCTCACTGGCTCCCTTCTTTTCTCCCAGCTCCACCCTGCCACCCCCATTTCCCTCCCTGGCCCTGGGGCCCTGCTGCTTCCCCAAACCTGCTCTGCCACAATTCCTTCCAGGTTCCCTCATCTGTAAAATGGGGATAATAATAGTGTCCGTCTCAGAGCAGTGTTGTGAGGATCAGAGGAGGGGCTCAAGGTGCTTAGAGCCCAGTGTATAGTAGGTTCTCAATAAAAATCAGTGATCATCGCCACCACTGTCATTTAAGTAGTGTCTCTGAAGTAATGTGAAATTGACTGAGTGATAGCATTATCCACATTTGATGGTTGAGGAAATTGTGGTTAAGAGAAGTGAAGCAGCGGCTGTCCAGTGTCACTTAACTAGGAAGTAGAGAGCGGGACTTACTTAATCTGGGCCTCCTGACTTTCTGACTTCAGATCTCATTAACTTCTCCTATTCTTTGCAGCCAGGCAGATGAGTGAATCATAATCAGTATTTATTACCTGCCTTCTGCACTCCAAGCCAGGCCCTAGATGCTAAGGGGCATTCTAGAGAGATCTGACCTAGATTCTTGAAGGAGCATAGAACCTAACTGATAAACAAGGTATGAAAACGAAGCCTTGTTTTGTTGAGGTAGAACACACTAAGGGTCCCAAGAGGGTAAGAGCCATTCTGGCTGAGAGGAAGCAGGCAGGGGAGGCTTCTTGGAGGAGGTGAGATTTAAGCTGGCCCTCAAAGGACCAAAAAGGACCAATGAGATACGTAGACTAGAGTAAAAGGGTCTTATGCACTGGAGATAAGGTCAGAGATGTGACCGGGAGCGGTGACTCACACCTGTAATCCCAGCACTTTGGGAGGCCAAGTAGGGCGGATTGCCTGAGGTCAGGAGTCCGAGACCAGCGTGGCCAACATGGTGAAACCCTGCCTCTACTGAAAATACAAAAATTAGCCAGGCATGGTGGCTGGCGCCTGTAATCCCAGCTACTCGGGAGGCTGAGGCAGGAGACTCACTTGAACCTGAGGCAGGAGAATTGCACCGCTGCACTCCAACCTGGTGACAGAGTGAGACTCTGTCTAAAAAAAAAAAGTCAGAGATATAACAACAGCTGCCAATTCTTGAGGCTCCTTATGATCCAGGTTCTGTGATGAAAGCTTTATATGCATTATCTCATGAGATTTCCTCATGATCATATGAGGTAAGTGCTATTAGGAGGAGAAAATCAAGGATCAAGGATCAGAGAATTTACAAAATTTGCCTTGGTCACACAATGAATAATAAAGTGTCTGGGCCTGGGTTTGAATTCGGGGCTGTTGGCTACAAAGCCTGGGCTCTTAATCATCATGGGTTATTGCCACCTTGGCCTCAACCATCTAATGAGGAATTAAGCTGTGGACTGTCTCTGGAGGGCTTTGAATGCCAAGGCTCAGACTTGCATAAAAATCACACAGCACCAGGCAAGAAATCAGACCTGAAATCTAGCAGCAGCTTCTAGCAACTTTTTACCACTCACTACCCAAGTTTGCTTCTCTGAGCCTCTCTAAACCGGAGTGATGAGGAATGTATTATCAGCAATGAAGGTTTTTGAATGAGGCAGAGAGGCTCTTGTGACAAAAGGATTGTTTAAAAGAAACCTAGAGATGTTCAAACATTTACTGAGTATTGGGTCCTAATAATACAACTGTGAACAAGACAAAGCTCTGCAGTGGGACTCTGACCCTGCTGTGCCCCCAGGCAGCTTGGGAGAGTAGAAGAACCCCTTAACTGGAAAAACAAGGGCTCCAGAGCTGGGACCTGTCCCAGATTCTGTTGCCAGCTCTCAAATCAGGGAATCTCTCTGTATGACCTTGGGCAAGTTACCCAGCCTTTCAGACTGTCAGTCTTTATCATGGGGATCATCATTCCTCTTCCCAGGATTGTTGGAATAAATTAACTAAAACAACGCTTGTAAGGATCTAGCATGGTGCCTGGCATCCTGTAGGCGCTGAATAGATGTTAGTTTTCCCTACAAAGAAGTAGACTAGTTTGCCTCCGTCCCTCACCCCTCTGCCATTAAAGGGAACAGGTTCCTGGCCTTCATTTTAGCAGGAAAGGGGATATGAATGCACATGTGCTAGCTAAGCAACAATGCAAACTAACAAAAGGGCCTGTGGCCTGGGGAATACACTGCTGGGTCTGGGCTCAGGCTGGGACCCCGCGCCAAAATGTTTCCCTTCAATCCCAGGGAATCCGGGCCCATTTCTCGGGGCGCTGTGCACTGCTCTGGCCGCCTCTGCACTGTGAATCCCGGAACCACCCTCTGTCTCCGTCTCGCCGGCTGCTAACTAGCGCGGCCGGCGGCTGGCGGCACCAACAGCAGGTGTGGCTGCCCCTTTAAGCAGCGAAGCTAGTGTTGCAATCGCCGCCTCGAGGACGCGTTCTTTCCGGGGGGGGGGGGGGGGGTGGAGCCTGTACTGTCGCAGCAGCCAACCGGAGCGCGGCATTTTCCGCGGGAGATCCGAATTTCGCGGCACGACGTTTGGCGCTAAAAAAAAAAAAAAAAGAAGAAAAAAAAGAGGCAGAGAAAGACTCAAGGACTAGAGAGCGAGCCGCAAGGAAGTCGGTGCAGTCGAGACCCCCCTCCCCATCCCAGCGCATCGCGTCTCCGCCGAGCTTGAGGGCACGCCGGGGACCCCTCCCCAGAGCCGGCCGGACCCCAGGTGCCGAGGCCTTGGGGAGCGCGGGGCGTCCCGGGTCGCGGTGCCCTCGGGACGAGACAGCCCCTGGCAGTGCCACCACCGCAGCCGCCGGGCGATCTCCAAGCGGCGATCTCTAAGCGCTGCTCTCTGCTCGGCCGCGGGCCAGGAGGGGAGGGTCCGGCCTTGCCCCGCAGGCGTCCATTGGCGGCTTCCCCCGGCCTCCGCGCCATGCCGCGGGCCGTGTGAAAGGCGGCAGCACCGGAACCCGCAGGTGTCCGCGGGCGCGCCAAGCCCTTTTGGGTAGGGGGCGCCTTACTCGCTATGCTGCAAGGGCCCCGGGCCTTGGCTTCGGCCGCTGGGCAGACCCCGAAGGTGGTGCCCGCGATGAGCCCCACAGAGCTGTGGCCATCCGGCCTCAGCAGCCCCCAGCTCTGCCCAGCTACTGCTACCTACTACACACCGCTGTACCCGCAGACGGCGCCTCCCGCAGCGGCGCCAGGCACCTGCCTCGACGCCACTCCCCACGGACCCGAGGGCCAAGTTGTGCGATGCCTGCCGGCAGGCCGGCTGCCGGTAATGCTGGGGGCCCCCACCGCTTCCCCCTATGCTTTTCCAGGTGTGGGAAAGGAGGGAGGGGTGCCTGAGATCCAGTTTGAGTGGAGCAGGTAGAGTTTTGGGAAGAGGGAAGATGAGCTTTCAGTTTCCAGGACCCAGTGCCCCCAATATCTGAGTAGAAGACCCCTTCATTTTCAGACTTTGGATGAAATAATCTCATCCATTCTAGTGGAGTGGAATGAGCACTGGATTGCGAGTCTGGAGGGAGACCCAACTCACTACTCCCAGTGCACTGTGTGACCTTGGGGAAGTCCATGCAGCCAGCGTTGCCGCCATTCATTCATTACTTCATTGTTTGGCCAGAAACCAGTACTGGGTGCCTGCTATTGTCCAGGCAAAGAGTATGGCCTGGGGACACTGTGGGACTTTGGTAAGACAGAGGGATAGGTCTAGTGGGTCTCTCACATCCAATCTGCCATGGACAGACTCCAAATTGTCCAGCCAGCTCCTGAGATAGCCCCAAGTATCTGCCCTAGGTCCTCCCCCAGGCCCAGTCTTCCCTCCCAGACAGCCATGTAGCAGATACAAATGTGGGCAGCCCCCTTGGGTTCTGTTCAGATTGGCTGCTCTCTCCTCAAGCTCCCAGGCTCGTTGCCAGAGAGGGCCCAAAGTGTAGTGGCACCAGGCTGCCTGCTGACCTGGGCTCAGGGTGTGTTTTGTGGGAGTGGAATTCCTGGAGCCCGTGTGAATCAAAACAACTTTAGGGTGGGGGGTGGAGTGGGAAAAGCCTGGGGGAGTGGAGGTGGTGGTGGTTGAGGAGCCTGGTTTCTGGTGTGACTCTGCCACTAATTCTCTGTGTGTCCTTGGACAAGTCTTGGACCCAGTCTGGGCTTCAGTGTTCTCTCCTTCACAATGCGTGTGTGCACAGGGTGGCTGTGGGGCTAGCTCTTCTCAGCCACATTCAGCTCCAGGTCCTGGGTTTTGGAAGCAGGCTCCAGGGAGAGGAAGGGGGTGTTGTAGGTTTGCTTAGTTGTGAGTTTGGTGAATAAGTTCGGGTACAGGGATAAGACCACCCCCCACTGCCCCAGAGGCATCTGGTCAGACCTGTGCTAGTCAGCAAGCACGGATGCCCAGCCAGCTCTGGATGCAGGCAGAGCCACCACTCCCTGCCAGTGGACTCAGGCTTTGCCCATGTTCAAAACGTTAACCTTCCTGGAGACCCTTCCTGCACATGATTTCTAACTAGGAGGGCAGTGGGCAGGAATGGTATTATCCCCATTTTACAGGTTAAGCAACCGAGGATAACTGGGATTGGGTATCTTGTGTTCAGTGTTTTATAGCCTAAAACATCTTTGTAGTTCGTGAAATAGATGGCATTAATAGCTCCATGTTACAGGGGGAAACTGAGGCTCAGAGAGGGGATGTGACCTAAGGTCAGAGATGGGGATGGGGTAGAGTGATGGGACTCACAAGGCAGTCAGCTCTTCTGTCTTTTATTTTTTATTTTTTGTAGAGACAGGGGTCTCCCTATGTTCCCCAGGCTGGTCTCAAACTCCTGGGCTCAAGCAATCCTCTTGCCTCAGCCTCCCAAAGTGCTGGGATTACAGGCATGAGCTAGCTACTCTAATGCACCTGGTCAGGCAGCAGGCTCTTCTCTATGTAGCCTTGACTTTTTTTAATACTGCCTAACTTAGGAGCTGAGCTCCCCCCAGGGAAGGGAGCTTTGCGGCAGGCCCACTCTCCTCTGGCCAGCTGCTTTCAGACTGGAAGTTTCAGTAACAGCTGTGGTTTTACACTGCTTTGAACCCTCCCAGAGGAGCCCAAGTACATCTGTCTGTACCTCCCTCCCAGAAGGGCTCAGTGATCTTAGCAAGAAGGTCTCTCTTTTACTGAGTGCCTCTCGTGTGCCAGACACTGCTTGGCACTCTTCACGTTCATTATCTTGGTCAGGATGTCCAGAATGAGGCACCTTGCAGATAAGGAAACTGAGCAAAGAAAGGAAGTCACTTGCCTGGGTCACAAGTGAAGAAGCAGGGGAGTCTCCTTGCAGCAGACCACCCTAAAGCCCTGCCAGGCCCAGAGCTCCCGCTCCTGTCAATCCCCAGATGCCCGGGGCCCAGCCCCGTGGGCAGGCCTGCCCTCTGCTTACTCATTTTACAAGGGCGTGACCTGGAACAGCTCCAAACCCAACCCTGGGTGTGGCCGCTTGCTTTGTGGCCGGGCTGCAAAGTGCAGGGTGAGCAGGATTTGTTGTGGAGCTTCTGTTTAAAGGGACCTCAGGCACTGTCCAAGGATGGCAACCAAGTTCAATGGCAGAATGAAGGCCACAACCCAGATCTCCTGGCTCCCTGTCCAGAGCTCTTTCCAAGTCCTCTGAGGAAGGCTCAGGGAATGCCCCTTTATCGCATGCCTCCTCTGGCCAGGCGCATGGCATCATTCTCTTTCACGCCTGCAGGAAGCTCTGCCCAGGCTGGCTTGCAATAGCGCCATCTCTGCTCACTGCAAACTCCACCTCCCAGGTTCAAATGATTCTCCTGTCTCAGCCTCCCAAGTAGCTGGGATTACTTTTTGTATTTTTAGTAGAGATGGGGTTTCACCATGTTGGCCAGGCTAGCTTCGAACTCCTGACCTCAGGTGATCCACCCGCCTTGGCCTCCCAAAGTGCTGGGATTACAAGCGTGAGCCACCACGCCCGGTCCTCCTTTTCTTTCAATTTGTCTACATTTTCCAGATTTCCTCTTGTGAGGCATGAAAGAAAATAAACATTTTAACACACAACTCTACAAGGCAGGTCAGGTGAGGAGGTGTAGGCTCAGAGAGGCAAGACAGTGAATCCCAGGCTGTTCAGCTACGAAGTGGCAGAGCTGGGATCTGAAAGCAAGGTTCGACCCCTTACATTTGCTCCTACCCCCACCATCTGACTTAGGGCTTAGGAGAGACCAGGCTCCACTCTGCGTGACCTTGGGCAAGTCAATTCCTCTTCCCCAAGTCCCAGTTTCCTCACCGTGGTGCCCGTAAGGGGGTTGTGCCTGGTGATCTCTGACCCTCTGCACTTCTGCAGCTGCCTGAGGAAGGAGCTGTACTCTTCTCCATAGGGGTTGGCAGGGTGGGCTTGCGTCCTGACCAGGCCTTGAAGATCCAGCCAAAGGGGCTGCCTAAGAGCGTCCAGGATAGGGCTAAGCTGGCCTCTGGCTGTGGCCATAGCCTTTGCTCTCCTCCCCTCATCGCAGTCTCTTTTCAGCTCACCCTTGAACTTTCCCCTTTTCCCACTGGTGCTCCCCATACATCAGTGCTAGCAGCTCCCTGGTGGGGGCACTCCCTATGGGCAAAGCGCTTTGCTGCACTATCTCACTGAATCCTCAGCATAGGTGGAGACAATGATGCCCATTTTATAGGTGACTTGACGTCAACTGATTTCCCAGCTAAGAAGGGGAAGGCCTAGATGCAAAGCCAGGCCAGTCTGACTCCAAGACCTGTGCTCAGCCTCACCTTGATGCTGATCCTCCTGGGCTTGTCCTCTGCCACCTGTGTTCTGCAGGTTCAGCCCAAGCCATAGGCTGACTTTCCTCTGGGCACTGTCCAAAGGTGTCAGGGAGGTATCCTTAGGGGGACACTTGCCGCATTGGGACCCTGGGAGTGCAGAATAAGGGTGAAGGAGAGTGAGAAAAGAGAGAAGGCTGTGTGTGTGTGTGTGTGTGTGTGTGTGTGCAAGTACATGCAGTGATGGGGGCAGGTGGGCGTAGCCCAGGCCTTGGCCCAAATTCTAGCAAATCCTGGGGCAGCGTGTGTGGGATGCAGCTGAGGCAGCCTGGTACATGGCTTTGCAGTCAGACAGGCCTGGGTTCAAACCCTGGCTCCGGCCTTTGTGTGACCTTGGGCATGTGCTTACTCTCTGTAAGTCTCCATTTTTTGGCTTCCGAGAGCCAGTGCCAATACTGATGTGGTAGGACTGTTACGAGCATGTAACAGGCTCAGCATAGATATTCTGTTCAAGGTCTTCCTGGGATTCTTTCTGGTTTGTTCTGGCGGGGGAGACAGGTGTGGCTGGGGAGGCTCTGGGCTGCCCCACCTCTGCCTCAGGTAGAACTCCACCTGAGCTTCCCTTCCTCTCCCTGCCCTTGGTGCTCCTGCTGGGGGATATATGAAGAATACTAGGATGTGCAGCCTTGGTCAGGATTGATGGAGGCCTCGGAGCTCCCCAAGCCTCAATTACTTCAGCTGTACAATGGGGATTAGTGGTATGGGAAGATTCAGTGAAGTGATGAATGTTGGGGCGTGGTTCAGGGCATGTGGAAGGTCTCAGCCAGTGACTGGCCCTTTCTCTAGTGACAGCATGGGGCTAAATCTCTAGAATATAGGATTTCACCAGTTAGGAAGGTAGAAAAGGAATATTCAAGAGACTCATTCAAGAATGAGCAGTAAAGTGTTTGGATGGTTTCCAGGTCTCGGTAGTGGTGGAAAGCAAGAGTGTTATATCCAGGCTCCTCAAACCAAGGAGCAGGGCTCCTCACATCAGCCCAGGAAGACTTCCTGGAGGGGGCAGGAGTGGGGGAAGGGGAACTGACAGCAGGAAGAGCTGTCACCACCTCCAACACCTGTCAGCCCAGCTGTGCTCAGCAGCAGTTAGAAGTCTCAGCCCTGCTGAGCATGACCTCACCACTAAATGTTAAAATAGGCCTCTCTGTCCAAGCCAGGGTAGGGGTGTCTGGGGGATCCAGAGTTGGAAAGAGGAAAGAAATGGGCTCGATGACCCCCAGAAGGATGTATGAAGGAAGAGGTCGAGATTAGATTTTAGGGAAGGGACTCTGTGTTTCCTGAACACCTACTGTGTGCTGAGACACAGGCTGAGAACTTTACAGAAGTTAAAGGAGCAGGAGCTAACCAGGGTCTTTCTCCCACATGCAGACAGGGAGCTAAATAAGTGCTTCAAAGGGAAGCCACGCGGGGATTAATTCAGCCTGTTCCAGGGTTTTTAAGATGCAGAGGCTGCCCAGGTAGTGCCTTCCTTGAATCCTTACAATAGCCCCTTGAGGTAGGCATTTTTACCCCATTTACAGAGGAAGAAACTGAGGCTCCTTAGATGTGTAACATTTCCCCCAACTTGTACCGTGAGCCTGCGAAGGAGCTGGAGATTCAAGCATGGGTCTCTGACCTATGTCCCAGTGTCCCAGTGCCCCAGCTCTGCCCCTGCCCTGCCCCTGCCCAGCCCTAACCAGGAGAGAGGCCCTTTCCGGGCCAGTGCAGCTCTGGGCCTAATTGGGGCCCGGGTGGCAACAGGGTGGAGAGGAGCAGATGGGTCTGTGGTTTGATTTCCCCAGCAGGTGTTTCCCAAGCTTGGCGGGAACAGAAAGGGGGAGCTGGAGGGGGGGGGTGGCCTCAGCTGCTTGTCCTTAAGACACGGGAAGGATTCATTGTCTGCCCCTCTCGGCAAAGAAAGAATGGCAAATGCAGTCTATTCAGGAGGCCCTGGGGCCCTCAAGCTGGAGCCCAAACATGGGGGTGGGGATGTTTGCACTGCTTCCCACTGTGGGCACCTCCCTGGGTTGTGGCACTGAGCCAGGAAGTCCCCTGGGTCTGGGCGGATGCCCAGCCCCGCCCTGATAAGGACCAGCTGTGGGACTGTGATGGGCACTCAGTCTAGCTGGGCCAGCTGCTTCTGTAGGGGGGCCCTTTCCCCACCCTGATGTGGTTTAGGCCCCACCCACTGCTTCCTCCTGGTATCATCCTCTGGGTGTGGTGGGGTGAGGAGCAGGTATAGGAGCCGGCTTAGGGCCCGTGGTTAAGGAGCTCTGAGCCCTTGGCCAGACTGGCTTTGGTAGGGTCTCAAGTGCCTGGGCCTCAGAGGATGGGAGTTTTATTTGCCCTTCAGAAAACAAGATTTCCCCTGAAAGCTCACTTCTCAGGTCACTGATGTTTTCCTATCAAGTACAGCAGTGCTTCACCAGGACTGGCGGTAAACTGAGGCACAGAGGTGGCTGCTAAGTGGCTTCATTGCTTTGGCCCCACATCAGGGAAAGGCTAAAGGAGGAATGATTCTCAAACTCTGCCTCTCTCTCCCCCTTTTCTCCAAGGCCAAAAGGAAGCTGGATCTGGAGGGGATTGGGAGGCCCGTCGTCCCTGAGTTCCCAACCCCCAAGGGGAAGTGCATCAGAGTGGATGGCCTCCCCAGCCCCAAAAGTAAGCAGTGCTGATGGGGCCTCTGGGGTGGGGTGGGGCAGGGGCAGAGGGCAGTGCCCTGCCCAATCACTGGTAGTCATATTTGGATCACTTTCCAGTTTACAAAAGCTTCCTGCGTATTTTATTATTTGATCCTGCCAGGTAGGTAGGCTTGTCTGTCTTTACTAATCAGGCAACTTGAGACTCAGAGAGCTTGAGTGACTTGCCCATAGTCTCAGAGTGGAGTCAGGACTAGAGCCTGGACATGTAAATCTTGCATTACTTCTGTGTTTTTTTTTGTTGTTGTTGTTGTTGTTGTTGTTGTTGTTGTGAGACAGGTCTCGCTCTGTCACCAAATGTGGATTGCAGTGGTGCCATCTTGGCTCCCTGCAACCTCCACCTCTGGGGTTCAAGCAACTCTCTCACCTCAGCCTCCCAGGTAGCTGGGACTACAGGTACATGCCACCATCCCTGCCTAATTTTTGTATTTTTAGTAGAGACACAGTTTCACCATGTTGGCCAGGCTGGTCTTAAACTCCTGACCTCAAATGATCCACCCGCCTCGGCCTCCCAAAGTGGTGGGATTACAGGCGTGAGCCACCATGCCTGGCCAGTCTCGCACTACTTCTACCATACCATGTACTGCTCTCATGATCTAAACTCAATGACCAGTGTTTTATTTGGGAATTTATTATTTTTAAAACGTTTTAATGTTTAGGTCAAGGTAAATTTTTCTAAATCAGAAGAGCAGGGGCTAACCAGGGTCTTTCTCCCACATGCAGACAAGGAGCTGAATAAGTGATTCAAAGGGAAGGGAAGCACAGATTAATCCAGTCTCTGCCACCCCAAAGGTTTTTAAGATCCAGAGGCTGCCCAGGTGGTGCCTTCCTAAAGCTAAGTTGGAGGGGGTTGCTGCCTCTTGATATTTTCAGTCAATATCCTGGATAGGCTGAGCGTGGTGGCTCACACCTATAATCCCAGCACTTTGGGAGGCCAAGGTGGGCAGATAACCTGAGGTCAGGAGTTCCAGACCAGCCTGGCCAACGTGGTGAAACCCCGTCTATACTAAAAATACAAAAATTAGCCGGGTGTGGTGGCGCATGCCTGTAATCCCAGCTACTCAGGAGGCCAAGGCAGGAGAATCACTTGAACCTGGGAGGCAGGTTGCAGTGAGCCAAGATCGCACCACTGCACTCCACTCCAGCCTGGGAGAGAGAGTGAGACTCCATCTCCAAAAAAAAAAAAAAATCCTGGTTAGAGCAGGAGTTAAAGCAACTGTGTTTGGGAGGAACACTAGTTTTGGGGGTCCAGGTAGGATTCTGCTCCGACCTGACAGGTCACTCCTGTGAACCTTAGTTGTTGTGAACCTTAGTTGTCTTGTGTAAAAGAAGACACAGCTAGATCAGGAATGGCAAGAAAGTTTCCTCTACATTTGATTGGTCAAGGCTGCCCAGAGCACTGTCTTGAAGGATCCTGAGGCTCATGATAACTGGTCCTCCTCCAGAGGAACCTAAGACTCTAAAATTCAGGTTCCAGAATTACTGGATTGGCCACTAACTTGCTATATGACTTGGAAGTCACTCGATTACAAAAGTCCCCTCGTGGTTTAAGATGCTGCAGCTGAGATGTGGTCTTGCAACATCAACCTCATTGAGAAAGGGACCTTTCTCATGAACCTCCCCGACTTGATGTTACAGGACCGATTTTTCTCAGATAATCATTGTGATTCACATGGGAAGAAAAAGCAAGTGTGTGTCTATAAAAATGCTCTTAAATCCAGGCTTATCATTTCTACCCTATTCTAATTCCAAACTCCGGACATTTAAGTGGCAGGATAGGGTAATGGTTAAGGAAAACTCTGGAGTCAGACTGCCTGGATTTGAATTCCAGCTTTGCCACTTTCTAGCTGAGTGAGCTGAGCAAATTACTTAAACTGTGCCTCAGTATTCTCATCTATAAAATGGGGATGATTGTACAGCAACCCTTACAGGGTGTTGTAGGGCTTAAATGTGTTCGTACATGGAAAGCACTTAGAACAGTGACAGTAGTTGTGGGTGGTGGTCTGGCAGCCCTAAGCTGTGGTGGAAATGTGCATTTAACCAGGAGTCAGGACACTAGGCTTCCAACACTGCCCATTGGCCGTGAGACCTTAAGCAAGTCACCTTCCCTCTTAGGTATCAGGTTCCCTGTCTGGACAGTGGTGGTGATGGATGCCCTGGCTCACACTGCTTTGTAAACTGGAAAGTGGGTGGTGAAAGGTGGTACTTAATGAGCCTAGGTCAATGGACGAGGGTCCTGGGCGGGCCCTCCCCTCCCTGAGCTGTGACTGGGTCCCTTTCTTCTTCAGCCCCCAAATCCCCCGGGGAGAAGACTCGGTATGACACTTCGCTGGGGCTGCTCACCAAGAAGTTCATTTACCTCCTGAGCGAGTCAGAGGATGGGGTCCTGGACCTGAACTGGGCCGCTGAGGTGCTGGACGTGCAGAAGCGGCGCATCTATGACATCACCAACGTGCTGGAAGGCATCCAGCTCATCCGCAAGAAGGCCAAGAACAACATCCAGTGGGTGTGAGTGCCTGGGCGGCCAGTGGTACCCTCCAATGGGTACTTGTGCTGTGGGCGGAGCCAGAGGCAATAGCCAGTGGGTGTGAGTGGCAGGGGCGGGGCTGAGAGCAACATCCAATGGGCACAAGGGCTGAGGCGGACCAAGAGCAACATCCAATAGGCTTATTGCTGGGGGTAGAGCCAATGTATGGTGAGGAAGAGCGCCGTGTACCTGCTGAAGTAATCGGAGAACGTGATGCGGGGCAGAGTGGAGAATGACATCTGGGAGGTGTAAAGGCCAAAGGGAACCTCAGATTCTTCCTCTTGAGTCAGAGATCCCAATATCCACTTCTTCTAGCTTAGGGCAGTCCCCTGGGAGCTAAGTAGGGGGATCCCGGACTCCTTCCAGATCTGAGATAGGAGTACTCCAGCCTCCTCTCTCCATTTCTACAGGGTTTAAAGAGCTGACCTATAGCCCTTGGCATAAATCCTAAGAGAAACCAGGCAGGGGAGGGAGTCAGGACTGAGGCTACTCCAGTTGGAGGAGGCTGGGGCATAGGGATGAACAGAGTCGAGAGCCCCTCAGAAATGGGGTTCAGGTCTTGACTTGTTTTTTCTCCCAAGCCCAACCCCCAAACCTCTGGTTCCAATCCCTGGTAGCTCCCTGAGAGACAGGCATGACCACTGATTTCCACAACCCAGGGAAGCACCCTCATAGACTATTTTTTGAATGACCTTGTTCTGGAGTTTCACCCACAGACTGACACTGGGGGGCTGCTCTGTTCCCAGAGGCAGGGGAATGTTTGAAGACCCCACCAGACCTGGGAAGCAGCAACAGCTGGGGCAGGAGCTGAAGGAGCTGATGAACACGGAGCAGGCCTTGGACCAGCTCATCCAGAGCTGCTCTCTGAGCTTCAAGCACCTGACTGAGGACAAGGCCAACAAGAGATATCCTCCTTGGTTGGGGGAAGGTGTCAGGGAGCAGGAACCTGTTGCATGTTTATATCTATCCTGAGTTGATTCAGTAACTTACCCTAAGGGTCTGGCATCTGTTTCTTCCTTCCTGGGTGGCTTTTCTTCTCAAGTCTATTTTTAAAATTATTTATTTATTTTTTTTAGAGACAAGGACTCATTCCGTCATCCAGGCTGTAGTACAATGGCATGATCATAGCTCGCTATAGCCTCGCCCTCCTGGGTTCAAGTGATCCTCCCACCGCAGCCTCCTGAATAGCTGGAACTACAGTCATGTGCCACCATGCCTGGCTAATTCTTTATTTTTTGTATAGACAGGGTCTCGCTTTGTTGCCCAGGCTGGTCTCTAACTCTTGGCTTCAGTCGATCCTCCTGCCTCAGTCTCCCAAAGTGCTGAGATTACAGGCATGAGTCACTGTGCCTGGCCTCAAGTTTATTAAAGGTATTTTTTCATTATTGAAAATAAGCCAAGTAAATTTCTTTAAATCTGGAAAACGGAGAAAAAGAATGATGAGCTGCCACCTTAACATAGCCATTGTTCTTGAACTGCACACAGAATGTGTTTTATTTCAATATAGTTGTAATGTAGTTGTGTGCCTGCTGAACATAGCTTTTTTTTTTTTTTTTTTTTTTTTTTTTTTTTTTGAGACAGAGTCTCACTCTTGCCCAGGATGGAGTGCAGTGGCACAATCTCGGCTCGCTGCAACCTCCACCTCCTGGGTTCTAGTGACTCTCCTGCCTCAGCCTCCTAAGTAGCTGGGATTACAGGTGCCCGCCACCATGCCTGGCTAATTTTTTTTTTTTTTTTTTGAGATGGAGTCTTACTATTGCTGCCCAGGCTGGAGTGCAGTGCCATGATCTTGGCTCACTGCAACCTCTGCCCCCTGGGTTCAAGCGATTCTCCTGCCTCAGCCTTCCAAGTAGCTGAGATTACAGGCGCCTGCCACCACACCCGGCTAATTTTTGTATTTTATGTAGAGACGGGGTTTCACCATGTTGGTCAGGCTGGTCTCGAACTCCTGACCTCAGGTGATCCACCCACCTCAGCCTTCGTAAGTGCTAGGGTTACAGGAGTGAGATACCGCACCCGGCCTTCACACCCAGCTGATTTTTGTATTTTTAGTGGAGATGGAGTTTCACCATGTTGGCCAGGCTGGTCTTGAATTCCTGACCTCAAGTTATCCACCCGCCTCAGCCTCCCAAAGTGCTAGGATTACAGGCATGAGCCGCCGCGTTCGGCCGAATATCTTTATACATAGAATGCTTTCCCATATTTTTACTTGTTTCCTAGGTCAGATCCCTAGGATTGAAATGATGAGGTCAAAGAGCATGGACTTTGCTAAGGCTCTTTCATACATTTTCCAAAATCATTTCATATCTAATTGGTTTTGGATCTGACCTTGTATTTTTGGAAGGATGCTAGGCATTGTGAGAAATATAAAGAAATAAAACACATCTTCCTGCCTTCTCAGAGCTAATGATCTAGTTTGAGAGATGAAGCCTTTACATAAGGCAACATTTTTTATGATTTATAATGTAAGGCAACATTTTTTATGATTTATATTCCCATTTGCTTTCCAAAGGGATCTAAGGTAGCTTATGAGATTAACAGGTTACAGATTGTATTATTTCTAAGTTGTACAAGGAGTGAGAAAGTAATGTTCAGAGGCTTAGGAGAGGTGGGTGAAGGTGCTCCCTGGCAGGTTTGGGGTTTGAATTTTGACCAGACAGTCACTTTTCTTGACTCTCCTGCCCTACGCTGGCCTATGTGACTTACCAGGATATCCGTGCTGTTGGCAACTTTAAGGAGCAGACAGTGATTGCCGTCAAGGCCCCTCCGCAGACGAGACTGGAAGTGCCCGACAGGACTGAGGTGAGAGGGGAAATATTTGGTGGAGAGCAGGGTTGAGACCCTGCCAGGGAGCGTTCCAGGCGGCTCTGCAGACTCTGTCCCTGGCACTGCCTAGCCCCATGCTTTGCAGGCCCATTGTGGTGTCCATGGCAATATTGGTGGCCTTCAAGCTTGGGCAGAAATGGCAGAAGCTGGAAAGGGCAACGGAGACTGAGTAGTGGCCTGAGAAAATCTCTGTTCCTGGTTTCTTTCTGCATCCCACCAGCCCTGGGTTCCTGCGCACATGCACACTCATGCCCACGTATGACGGTGTCAATACTCATGAAAATCCTTTCATGCTGACCGTGCTTTCCCAGGTTAAAGACCAAAATTCCTGACACTCCCTATGAGGCTTCGGTGCTCTGAGACCCCAGCTGACGTTGCCAACCTCCTTTTCCCCGCTGCCCCATCTGTCTTTGTTTTGGCCACACTGACCTGTCTGCAGTTTCCCCATTGCACTAAGCTCATTCCTAGTATGAGATCTTCTGTTTTGTTTGATTTATTTATTTATTTATTTATTTATTTTTGAGACAGAGTCTCACTCTGTTGCCCAGGCTGGAGTGCAGTGACACAATCTTGGCTGACTGCAATCTCCGCCTCCTGGGTTGAAGCGATTCTCCTGCCTCAGCCTCCCAAGTAGCTGAGATTACAGATGCCCGCCACTACTCCCGGCTAAGTTTTGTATTTTTTTTTTAGTAGAGATGGGGTTTCACCATGTTGGTCAGGCTGGTCTTGAACTCCTGACCTCATGATCCACCTGCCTCGGCCTCCCAAAGTGCTGGGATTACAGGCATGAGCCACCACACTCAACCTATTTGATTTTTTTTAAGACAGCGTCTTGCTCTGTCACCCAGGCTGGAGTGCAGTGGCATGATCTCAGCTCACTGCAACCTCTGCCTCCCGGGTTCAAGCCATCCTCCCACCTCACCCTCCTGAGTAGCTGGGACCACAGGTGCATGCCACCATGCCTAGCACATTTTTTGTTTTTTTTGTAGAGACGAGGTTTTGCCACGTTGTCCAGGCTGGTCTTGAACTTCGGCATAGAAGTGATTTGCCCGCCTTGGCCTCCCAAAGTGCTGGGATTATAGGCGTGAACCACCGCACCTAGCCGTGCAAGACCCTCATACATGCTCTTCCCCTCGAGCTGAAATGTTCTTCCCTCTCTGCCTGATTTACCGCTATTCATCCTACAGGTCTCAACTCAAATGTCACTTCCTCAAGGAAGCCTTCTCTGATTACCTCCAGACTTCATAAACACCTGTGCTTTTCCGCTGCCTTTAATTTAATCTCCATTTGCTGAGGTATATTTGGCATGATTACACGATTGCATTCTGCTTCATCTATTAGGGTGTAAGCTTCACAAGAGAATGTTCTACTCACCTTGTATCCCTTGCCCAGAGCCTGGCATATTATAAGGACTCAAGAAATAATTTATTTAAAGGAAGAACTGGGGCTGCAGAGACAATTAAGGTCCTGCCCCCACCCTTGGAGGAGTTCACGACTTAGTGGGAAAAAGACGCTGTCATTTATAGACTGAAGATGTGCTTTGCAAGCATAGAGAAAGGGTAGTTAGAGGAGGTATCCCAGGTGGGGACAGTTAAACTAGGTCTTAAAGAATGAATAGGGTTTTTGCTAGGTGCAGTTCTGTGTGAGTACAGGCATGGAGACCTGGACATGTGCCTGGATGGCATGCATGTCATCAGTTGTGGCTTAAGTTGCGGTTATGTGGTAGGGAAGGGACAGGGTGGGAAGACCAAATACTAGGACTCTTGGTTACAGGTAACAGAAAGCCAAGTCCAACTGGCTTCAGCGGGAGGTATGGGTAGGGGTGGTGGGAACCAAATGACAAGTCCTGGGGGAGATTCAGAGATTGCTGGCAAGGTTGGATGTAGATGCTCAAACTATGACTTCAGGTCTGTCTCACGCTTTTCATCTCTCTGCTTTTCTCTGTGCTGACTCCATTCCCAGGTGGGCTCTCTCCTTGTGGTGGTAGAGGTAGCTTTTATGATACCAGCTCAGCAACCCCAGTGGGAAGGGGGCTTCCATTTCCCACAAGTCCAGCAAAAGTCCTGGGCCTAGTGCTGGTTGGATCCACCTGAGCCATGGGCCATCCTGAACCAATCATGTCACACTAACTTTCCTGGCTGCGTCACAAGCTCACCCACTGGCATTGGGGAAGGGTGCTGCCCCCCCCCCCCCGCCCCAAAACTAGATGACCTGAGAGTGGGGGGAAGAGTGATTTCCCACAGGAAAATCAAGGTGTTCCCCCTAAAAGAAGTGGGCTTCAGGGCCAGACAGCAGAAACAGCGGAAGTCCACCTTAGTTAGGCCAGATGGAGTTGGTCTCAGTGCCAGCCCAGGGTTTGAGCTTGCACCCATGGATGGCAGCAGCCACGTGCGTCTGTCCATACACACTAAGTGTAAGTGTCCAGCTGCCCAGAGCAATGACCTGGCTTCTCTTCCTCCTCCAGGACAACCTGCAGATATATCTCAAGAGCACCCAAGGGCCCATCGAAGTCTACCTGTGCCCAGAGGAGGTGCAGGAGCCGGACAGTCCTTCCGAGGAGCCTCTCCCCTCTACCTCCACCCTCTGCCCCAGCCCTGACTCTGCCCAGCCCAGCAGCAGCACCGACCCTAGCATCATGGAGCCCACAGCATCCTCAGGTAGGTCCCTTGTCCAGAGGGACAGGAGGTGGGGGGAGAGACCGGCCTTAGTTTTCTCTTCTATATCAATGTTTGTTGAAAACCTCCTGTTTTATCCAGCAGCTGGGGATGTAGTCATCCTACCCCACACATGTGCATTGTACTTAATGCTTTATAAAGCCTCACTAGGAAGGCTGGTGCTGCTCCAGGGCAGAGGAAGGCCTGGATTTGAATCCCAGCCCATCCACTTACCAGCTATGTGACCTTAGACAAGTTACTTAACCTCTCTTGGCCTCAATTTTTCTCATCTGTGAGTTGGGCGCAGTAATTAATACTGTCTAACTCATAGGTTGTTGTGAGATTATATAGCTCACGCCTATAATCCCAGCAGTTTGGGAGACTGAGGCAGGAGAATCATTTGAGACCAGGAGTTCAAGAGCAGCCCGGGCAACATAGGGATACCCTGTCTCTATAAAAAAATTTACAAATTAGCCGAGTGTGGTGGCACACGCCTGTAGTCCAGCTACTCGGGAAGCTGAGGTGGGAGGAACACTTGAGCCATGGAGGTTGAGGCTACAGTGAGCTCTGATCATGCCACTGCACTCCAGCGTGGGCAACAGAGGGAGACCCTGTCTCAAAAATAAAAATAAGAATAAAATTTTAAAAAATAGGCCAGGCGCTGTGGTCCCCACCTATAATCCCAGCACTCTGGGAAGCTGAGGTGGGAGGATCACTTGAGCCCAGGAGTTCAAGACCAGCCTGGGCAACATAATGAGACTCCATCTCTAATAAAAATAAAATAATAAAATTTGCCCATTAAAAAAAAAATAAGACATAGAGGTGATGTGTCTTACCTAAGGTCTCCCAGCTGGGAGGCAACAGAGCTGTGTCTTGAACCTTGGTCTACATACTCCCAGCCCAGTGCTCTCTCCACAAGGCATAGATCAAATCGAAGAAGGGGCTTCTGGCTGGGAGGTGGACGGTATGGTTAAGAGCTGGCTACCCCTGATGGAAGGTAGTACAGGTAAGTTGCCAGGGAGCAAAGTTCCTGAGAGCTTCCCAAGGAGGGTGGGAGTCCAGAAGGAGTACAAATGGAAGCCTGTAAAGGCCCCTCTCCAGAACAGTTTTTGCCTTTTCCTGGATCACACATCCGGCTAGACTGGCAGGATTCTTCAAGGCTATGTAGGCCAGTGTTCCACTTTTTGTCTTCTTAGCAGCAGAATTCTCTTAAGTAGAACCCTAGCGTTTAGACCAAGGTAGAGGTAGAGCTGGGCTGATGGAAGAGGCTTGCTGGAAGGGCTCTGCAGTACACTGGTTGTGTCCATTTCTCTAACTCAGAGGTTAATAAACTATTGCCTGCAGGTCAAATCTGACCTGCTTTTAATGACCCATGAGCTAAGAATGGTTTTACATTTTTAAAGAGTTGTGGGAGAAAGAAAAAGAAGGCAACTATGTGACAGAGACCACAAGTGTCCCACAAAGCCTAAAATACTCTCCAGCTTTTTTTTTTTTTTTTTTTTTTGAGACAGTCTCGCTCCGTCACCAGGCTGGAGTGCAATGGTATGATCTTGGCTCACAGCAACCTCTGCCTCCTGGGTTCAATCAATTCTCCTGCCTCAGCCTCCCAAGTAGCTGGGATTACAGGTGCCCGCCATCACACCCAGCTAATTTTTTTTTTTTTTGTATTTTTAGTAGAGACAGGGTTTCCCCATGTTGGCCAGCCTGGTCTTGAACCCTTGACCTCAGGTGATCCACCTGCCTTGGCTTCCCAAAGTGCTGGGATTACAGGCTCCAGCTCTTTATAGAAGTTTGCTGTCCCCAACTAACTCAACCCTTCTTTTAACACATGAATGAACACAGGCCCAGAGAGGGCAAGTGGCTTCCCTAAGGTCACACAGCAAGTTGATGGCAGAGCTGGGACCAGAGCCCAGCCTCCCAACTCTTCTCTAATGATCTCTCCTGTGTCTGTCAGGCCTCATCAGGGACCAGAGCTTCTCCCTGTGCTAGCCATCTGTCCCTTGGGACACCTCCCCAGTGCCTATCTCCCATCCCAGACCTCTGCCCCACCCTCTGGTCCATCCTCCTCCTGCTGTGCCTCCTCACTCAAGTGTCAGCATGCGCATAGCCCTCCGAAGCTGGAACCACCTTCGCTTCAGTTGTCCTCTGAGACCTTGGGTGGAGGTGGCAGATCCCAAAGCATAAACAAGGGTGTGAAGTTGTTTTTTTTTTTTTAAGACAGAGTCTCACTCTATCACCCAGGCTGGAGTGCAGTGGCACAATCTTGGCTCACTGCAACCTCCGCCTCCCAAGTTCAAGCAATTCTCCTGCCTCAGCCTCCCGAGTAGCTAGGAGTACAGGTACATGCCACCATGCCCGGCTAATTTTTGTATTTTCAGTAGAGACAGGGTTTCACCATGTTGGCCAGGCTGGTCTCGAACTCCTGATCTCAGGTGATCCACCCACCTCAGCTTCCCAAAGTGCTGGGATTACAGGTGTGAGCCACCGAGCCCAGCCGGGTGTGAAGTTTTTACCTGAGTTTTACAAATCAAGATCCTGAAGCCCAGAGAGGAGCAGAGGCTTACACAGCAGTCTGGTGGGGCCAGCTCTCATGTCATGGCTGTCCCCACGACCCTTGTCACATGGCCTCATAGTATTATCCCTGCTGAAGGGAGGAGGAGGAAGTTTTCCTGGTCTTGGCTCACTGCAACCTCCGCCTCCCAGGTTCAAGGGATTCTCCTGCACAGACACACACACACACACACACACACACACACACACACACACACACACACATGTTCCGTGCTGTGTTCTGAAATAGTATCATTTTGAGGTCTGAGTGCCAGAAGCCATGTAAGAGAGGAAGCCACTACAGTCTTGGGACCTGGGTCCTGGCCCTGGTTCTGCATTACCAGGGGAAGTGTTCTCTGCAGCCTCAGTTTCCCTCATCTGTAATGGAAGGGGTTTCAACAACATCATCTCTGACATTTCTCCAGGCTCTGACATTCTGAGATACACCTAAATGTAGCTGATGGCACAGGATTTGAAATTGGGAGACCTGTGTTCAAGCCTGTATCTCACTTCTTAGTGACTTGGTGACTGTGAGTGAATCACTTTAACCCCCCAAAGCCCCAGTTCCCACATCTCTCAAATGGGGACACTTGAAATTTCCTCATGAATATTGAATGGGTTATAGAAGATGACATGGCATAAATGTGATTTAAAAAAAAAAAAAAAAAACTTATGTGGCCAGCCGCGGTGGCACACACCTGTAATCCAGCACTTGGAGAGGCCGAGGGAGGTGGATCACTTGAGGCCAGAAGTTCCAGACCAGCCTGGCCAACACGATGAAACCCCGTCTCTACTACAAATACAAAAATTAGCCGGAGGTGGTGGTGCATGCCTATAATCCCAGTTACTCAGGAGGCTGAGGCACAATAGTCACTTGAACCAGGAAAGCAGACGTTGCAGTGAGCTGAGATTACACCACTGCACTCCAGCCTGACCGACAGAGTGGGACTCTGTCTCAAAAAAAAAAAAAAGCTTGTGTGAAGAGCATCTACTGAGCTGGGCCTGGTGCTGTTTTAGAGACAGAAAAGCAGTAAGAGCCATTCAGAGTGTGGTGGAGAGACACATATTACAAAAGGCGATTCTATTTCTGGACGTGATCAACAGCAGGAGACAGCAAGGTCTGACCTATAATAGAGATTTTCACATGTGTTTTATCAGTTACTGCTTCTAATACTCATCCCTGTTTTTCCACATGAGGAAACAGAGTTCTGGGGTTCCATGGCTGGTGAGAGGAGGCGCTAGAGTCTGAGCCCACATGCTCCCCGCTCCCAAGCCAGGCCTCTGACTGTAACATCAGCAGCGTGCCAAACAAACCTTAGATTTTTTTTTTTAATTAATATACATTTAATGGACTTCTTTGGGCCCTAGTTTTCTCATCTGTAAATAGGGGTAACAGCATGGACTCCCTCAGGGCCATTTGAGTGTGCAAGGAGGCTGAACCACGCCTCGCCTCAAGGGCAGTGCCACCACCTCCCCCATTAGCCTTGGTAAATGGGAGCAATTTTTAACAGGAGCAAGGGCAGCATGCAGACCCGACAAACCAGTGCTTATTTATTTATTTGTTTGTTTATTTATTTATTTTTATTTTGAGACACGAGTCTCGCTCTTGTTGCCCAGGCTGGAGTGCAGTGGCGTGATCTTGCCTCACTACAACCTCCACCTCCTGGGTTCCAATGATTCTCCTTCCTCAGCCTCCCTATTAACTGGGATTACAGATGCCTGCCACCATACCCAGCGAATTTCTGTATTTTTAGTAGAGACGG
This sequence comes from Homo sapiens, assembly GCF_000001405.40. Lineage (NCBI taxonomy): Eukaryota > Metazoa > Chordata > Mammalia > Primates > Hominidae > Homo > Homo sapiens. Next base: position 282,003 of record NW_014040926.1, on the reverse strand, counting down.
TGTTTCACCATGTTGGCCAGGCTGGTCTCGAACTCCTGACCTCAGGTGATCTGCCTGCCTCGCCCTCCCAAAGTGCTGGTATTATAGGCATGAGCCACCGCACCAGGCCAAACCAGTGCTTCATATGCACTTACCATGCGGTCCTCTGAGCAACCCTTTGAGGTAGGTAGTGCTATGCTGCCCCATGCAGAGGGGAGAAAATGGATGCTCTAAAACGTGAAGTCCAGAGCAAGACTCCATCTCAAAATAAATTAAATAAATAAATAAAATGTGAAATCACATGCCTATGGGTGCACCACCAGTCTCAACAGGCAGCCTAGCATCCCAGCGCAGTTGTATCTTCAGAATAATACTTGGCTGGGGCTTAAGGAGTGACTGCAATGTGGGGGATTCTGAGCATCAGGATATATGTGGCAGGCAATTTCCAGTGCTTCATTGCATGTCCCTGTATGGGAAATCACCGTCTTAACATCTAAGTGGAAATGAGCAGGTTGGGTGTGGTGGCTCATGTCTGTAATCCCAGCACTTTGGGAGGCTGAGGCAGGAGGATTGCTCGAGCCTGGGAGTTCGAGACCAGCCTGGGCAACAGAGTGAGACCCTGTCTCTACAAAAAAGTTTAAAAATTGGATGGGCATGGTGGCACGCACCAGTGGTCCCAGCTACTCAGGAGGCTGAGGCGAGAGGATTGCTTGAGCCCAGAAGGTTGAGGCTGCAGTGAGCCGTGTTCACCCTACTGCACTCTGTACTCTAGCTTGGGCAAGACCCTGTTTCAAAAAAAAAAAAAGAAGGCGGCGAGAAAGAAATGAGCATAGAGTGCTGGAGAATGGCTACTGAAAGGTCAAATAAGATGAAGCCAGAGAAATGACCATTGGGTTTAGCAGCATGGATGTCACTGGCTCAGGGACATGGTGGGGAGAGACCCCAGACTGGAGTGAGTTGAAGAGAGAATAGTAATAGGGAAGTGGAGACAAGCTGAGGCTACTCTGGAGAAAGTTTACTGTGCAAAGGAGCAGAAAAATGGGCCAGTAATTGGAGAGGGTGATGAGGTCAGGTATAGTTGTGTGTGGTGGAGAGTAGAGGCAACATAACAAAAATTTACCATCATAACTATTTTTAAATGTACAGTTCAGTGGTAATTAATACATTCATAATGTTGTGTAACCATCACCATTCATCTCCATAACTCCTTTCACCTTGTAAAACTGAAACTCTGTACCTATTCCCCATTCCCCTCTCTGCCCAGCCCCTGACAACCACCCTTCTACTCTCTGTCCCTGCGATTTTGACTAAGTATCTAATGTAAGTGGAATCACACAGTATTTGTTTTTTTGTGATTGGCTTATTTCACATAGTTTAATGTCCTCAGGGTTCATCTATGTTGTAGCATGTGTCAGAATTTCTTTCCTTTTTGGCCGGGCACAGTGGCTCAGGCCTGTAATCCCAACACTTTGGAAGGCCGATCACTTGAGGTCAGGAGTTCGAGACCAGCCTGGCCAACATGGTGAAACCCCATCTCTACTAAAAATACACAAATTAGCTGGGTGTGGTGGTGCATGCCTGTAGTCCAGCTACTCGGGAGGCTCAGGTGGGAGAATCGCTTGAACCTGGGAGGCAGAGGTTGCAGTGAACCAAGATCACAACACTGCACTCTAGCCTGGGTGATAGAGTGAGACCCGGTCTCAAAAAAATAAAAAATACATGAAAAGTTGTAGGGTTGGGTGTAGACTCTGGAAGGTGGATTTTGAGAGCACGACAGTCCACCCAGGCTAAGGAGAGAGAAGAAGGGTGCAGTCATCCAGAGAACCGGAAGTCTGTCCTCGCGTGCTGAGGAGTTGGATGCTAGGGCCAGGCGTAACCTTTGTCTGTTTGTCTCCAGTGCCAGCACCAGCGCCAACCCCCCAGCAGGCCCCACCGCCTCCATCCCTGGTCCCCTTGGAGGCTACTGACAGCCTGCTGGAGCTGCCGCACCCACTCCTGCAGCAGACTGAGGACCAGTTCCTGTCCCCGACCCTGGCGTGCAGCTCCCCTCTGATCAGCTTCTCCCCATCCTTGGACCAGGACGACTACCTGTGGGGCTTGGAGGCGGGTGAGGGCATCAGCGATCTCTTCGACTCCTACGACCTTGGGGACCTGTTGATTAATTGAGTGGCCCTGCCTGCCCCCAGCAGCCTGCCCCCGACTCTACCTCCTCACAGACAGGCTGACAGCCCCTCTGCCTGCACAGGGACATTGGACACTAGGTGCTGCCCTCAGGGCATGGGGTCTCCTCGCCTTTCCTGCCCCAGCCGGCAGAAGCTGTGTGGGGAGATATGAATGGTACGGGTGAGGAGTGGATAAGGGGTGGTCCTCACCTTCCTAATGGAAGCTGGGCCTAGGGAGGCCCATCCAGTCTTCTGACTTCTGACCTCTCACAAGAAGGCTGCAGGTGAGGTGGCCAAGTCCAGGGAAAGGCCCTGCTACCTCCTTTTGAGGGGTAATTAGGACCCTCGACGTACCAAGAAGCACATAATGCCTTTGTATTTATTTCAGGTTGAGTTGTTTGTTTGTCCTCCCTGAGTTTTAGCAGGGAGGTTGTTCTAGTTTTTAGTGAGACCTCTGCAGACAGGCCCATCACTGTCCATGTTCCAGGGCAGGTCTGGGTTTCCAAGGGAGGGGCCCAGGCTACATCCTTGGTTTCCCCACTGTGGTGGGGGCTGGGACTCTGAGGGGCTGTCCAGTCTGCTAGAATGCTAATTGCACTTAGGCCTCATGGTTCTAGTAAACGGCAGCTGTGGGCCCTTTTGCCTCTTCCCCTGTTCTTGGCCTCACATCTCCAGCTGAGCTGCCGGTCTTGGCTTCCTGGTCGCCTCTGTCCCAGAGATGGTCCCAGGGAGCCATCCTAGGGCAGGTAGCACTGAGGCTCCTGTGGAAACAGGAGCCACCTGCTCAGGAGACCCCTTTCCTGAGGAAGTCCTTACCTCTCCCCTTGAGATGTAAAAATGGTCCAGCAGAGACAAGCTCCCGTGGAAAACAGACAGGAGCATGGGGGCAGCTGTCATGGCTGTGGCGGGCACTTTTCCTCAGAGTTTCTGCCTTGCGCTGGTCCAGGAGCCATTTTGCACCAAGGACTTGGTAGGCAGAGGCAGCCCCACTGTAAAGAAGGGTCAGATTAAAACAAAAAACTGCCAAAAGCATCCCCTCTGCCCCCCATGTGGCACTGGCATCATTCTCTGCTTCCCTGGGAGGAATTTTTTCACCATGTTATTGAAGGGGATGGTTCATTAAGGACTCCACCCCTCAGAGCTCACTCAGACCCCAAGGACAGAGGTGACTGGGGCTTGGTGACTTGTTCACTCCTTTTTTCCCAGGTATACTGAAGGGGTGACAGAGAGAGGTCTTCATGGCAGACCAGGCCTTCACAGCTAATGGGGAGAGGAACTCATGTTACCTCTGCAGGCCTGGGGTCCTGAGGGGGTCTTTTGGCTTCAGCCTGTTCCCCCAGAGGCTTGATCATCCCACATTGTCCCTTCAGCTCAGCTGCTCTTCTCCCCCACCCACCCTGGGATGTGGGTGCTCTGGGCTGAACCAAGGCTATGACTTCTGGAGAGAGGCTCAGGGGTTGGTCTGAGAGGCCTGCCATCCACCCCTCAGGGAGCTAGGTTTTCTCAGAGGCTCAGCTGGACAGCACTTTTTAGAAAAGTTTGTAGCATTAAGCTGGTTTAAAATATGAAGTTGGTTTTGTTGGATGGCTCCTGAGCTGACTGACTGATGTCTGAAGTTTGAGACGAGGGATTATTTCAGGGTGGGGCCCAATGTGATCTAATGCCCAGCTGGGGACAATTGTGCCTCATCATTTGCTCAAATTCCTGGGCCCCCAAGTTAGCCCCCTCCCAGGAGTGGTCAGCGGGTCACAGCTGCCCCCACTCTATAAGCAGGGCTAATTGTGTACCCTTTGCAGAAATGCTTTTGGTCTCCTACCCAAATACTCACAAGGGTCTTATCAGACGCCCGTCTTAAAGTCCAGCATGCTCAGGGACCCTGTGTAGGATCTCGTTTGTGGTGAGTGGGCTGCTCTGAGGTCTCCACTGGGCTGCCATTTAGCCATGTGCCATCTCTGAAGTCAGAGGTGTTTGACTCCCATTCCTTGGGCTCTGGAGCTTTCCCCAAGAATTACATCAGAGAAAAGGAAGAAGGGGCCTGCAGGACCCATTGGGAATGAGTTTAATACTGAAGTCTGGAATGTAAGCTCATGCCCTAGAGGCCTCTCCATATGGCTGGTCAGGGGAGCTGCCTTCAGGCTTGTGCCCCGTGTGCTCAGCAGCTGCCTCTGTCCCCCTCTACTGTCCCTTTCACACCTTGCCTGGCCAAGGGGCTAGACCTCCCAGGCTAAGCCTCAGATTCAGTGCAGGACACAAGCTCATGCCCCCGTCTTGCCAGTGACACTTGAAGCCTCCCGACTTCCACAGAGTGCTTCAGGACACATTTTGAGTGGTATTTTCTTTTCTTTTTTTCTTCTTTTTTTTTTTTTTTGAGATGGAGTCTCGCTCTGTTGCCCAGGCTGGAGTGCAGTGGCCTGATCTCGGCTCACTGCAACCTCTGCCTCCCAGGTTCAAGCGATTCTTCTGCCTCAGCCTCCAGAGTAGCTGGGACTATAGACATGCACCACCACGCCCGGCTAATTTTGTATTTTTGGTCGAGACGGGGTTTTGCCATGTTAGTCAGGCTGGTCTTGAACTCCTGACCTCAAGTGATCCACCACCTCGGCCTCCCAAAGTGTTGAGATGACAGGCACGAGCCACCAGGCCCAGCCTGAGTGGTATTTTCTTTAGGGACCAGGTAGACTTTAAAACGAGGGTAAGAGAAAAGCCAGTGTCTTTCTGAGGTAAATAATTTCTGCCAGGAAACTTCCCAGCCCCACCAGCAGCCCCCCTAAAAAAATCACTCGTGTCCCCAGGGACTTCTAAAGCTTGGGGCTCCAGGAAATCATCCAGTAGAGTTGGAGATTCAGAGATTTCTTGAAGCCAGGGACATGCTCCTAACTCCTTTCCCATTAAAGGTGTTAGAATAGACCAGAGGGTGTCCCTTTTCCACAGTAATGGGATCGGCTGGTGTGCCTTCAGGGAGGAAGAGGGAGGTGGTCAAGCTTGAAAAACTGGCTTTAGGATGGTTCTGACTTTGTTCTCCCTCCCCAAGTGTTCTCAACCTCCATTCTGCAGTGTTCAGAGTTTTAGGGAAAGGGTTTGGGTGCCCCAGCATCCAGGTGTTGTGTGGCTTAGCGCATGTGAAGTGAAAACCTTCTGGGGTTGTTTGGAAGCAGCTTTCTGGTTCTTGTGATTGTATCCTGAGGTCCCAGAACCCTATTCTCCCACGAGGATCCTCAGTGACCATGGTGGCCACACGCCTGGCCAGCCTGCTGGCTCCTGGGTGAGCTGAAGAACCTTGCCTGTGGCACTTTTCGAGGGTGAGCTGGAACCGAGAGAACATGGTCCCCGTGCTGGGACTCATGCGGGTCATTTCCTGCCGGCCTGGTTTCGCCTGGTCGTGTCTTTATGAGCACCATGTAAGCCTCCTTGTATTGAGATAATTGGGCATTAAACATTAAACTGCAGCTCTGGGCATCTTGTCTTTGTCGTGCTTTCTGAAGCTCATTACCAACTGTGGATCTGGTCCCCGCAGGCTGGGTGTTGGGGGCTGTCCTGGCCAATGCTGGGGGCACATGATTGCCCAGTGGATTTCCCTCCAAGATACAGTCTCTTATCACCATGCCTGCAATCTCACCATTAAGGCACTGAAAAGTTCGCAGCACCCAGATCTAAAATGTGATCAGCCCTGACTCTGTCTCCCCCATCTATTTCCACAGCTTCCTGAAAGGTCTTGCTGCCCACACTCTCCCTCCCACCCTCTACATCAGTGGGTCCAACTGTAGTCCTCAGACCAGCAGCAGCAGTATCACCTGGAAATGTGAGACATGCATATTCAAGACCATGCCTCACGCTGGGTGCGGTGGATCACTTGAAGTTAGGAGTTCAAGACCAGTCTGGCCAGCATGGTGAAACCCCATCTCTGCTAAAAATATAAAAAAATTAGCCGGGCTTGGTGGCGGGTGCCTGTAATCCAAGCTACTGAAGAGGCTGAGGCAGGAGAATCGCTTGAACCCAGGAGGCAGAGGATGCAGTGAGATCACACCACTGCACTCCAGCCTGGGCTACATAGTGAGACTCTGCAAAAAAAAAGGCCAGGTGCAGTGGCTCACGCCTGTAATCCCAACACTTCGAGAGTCCAAGGCGGGCGGATCGCAAGGTCAGGAGATTGAGATCATCCTGGCTAACACAGTGAAACCCCGTCTCTACTAAAAAAATAAAATAAATTAGCGGGCATGGTTGCAGGCGCCTGTAACTCCAGCTACTCAGGAGGCTGAGTCAGGAGAATCACTTTAACCCAGGAGGCAGAGGTTGCAGTGAGCCGAGATGGCGCCATTGCATTCCAGCCTGGGCAACAGAGCGAGACTCCGTCTCAAAAAAAAAAAGAGACCTTGCCTCAGACCTGCTGAATAAGAAACTCATGGGGCGGGACTCAGTATTCTGAGGCTCCATGAACCTCCCAGGTGAGTCTAATGCAGCTGAAGTTTGAGAATGCATGCCTTCTGCTGCCCCAGAGAGATCTTTCTACACTTGATCTTAGCCAAAAGGCTGAGAAGCGATCCCCAGAAAGATCTTTCTAAAATGTAGTTCTAATCGCGTTACTCTCCTGCTTAATGCCCATCCATGGCTCCTCTCTGCCCTCGGGATGAAGTTCTAACCCTTTTGCATGGTATAAATGGCTATTTACAACTTCCAACTGGCTTCCTCTACCTTACCTGTGGCCTCCCTGGCCACCCTTTCCCAGCACCATTGCCACACTGGGCTTCCTTGTCATTTCCTGAAATCGACACGTCTTCCCTCTTCTGGGCCTGTCCACATGCTGTTCCTTCCACCTAGGATGCCCTGTGCTCCATTTGAGCTGAGTGGGTGCCTACTTATTCTTGAAGGCCCAGTTCAAGAATCTTTTTTTGTAGTTTTCTTTCTTTTTTTTTTTTTTTAATTGATCATTCTTGGGTGTTTCTCGCAGAGGGGTATTTGGCAGGGTCATAGGACAATAGTGGAGGGAAGGTCAGCAGATAAACAAGTGAACAAAGGTCTCTGGTTTTCCTAGGCAGAGGACCTGCGGCCTTCCGAAGTGTTTGTGTCCCTGGGTACTTGAGATTAGGGAGTGGTGATGACTCTTAAAGAGCATGCTGCCTTCAAGCATCTGTTTAACAAAGCACATCTTGCACCGCCCTTAATCCATTTAACCCTGAGTGGACGCAGCACATGTTTCAGAGAGCACAGGGTTGGGGGTAAGGTCACAGATCAACAGGATCACAAGGCAGAAGAATTTTTCTTAGTACAGAACAAAATGAAAAGTCTCCCATGTCTACCTCTTTCTACACAGACACGGCAACCATCCGATTTCTCAATCTTTTCCCCACCTTTCCCCTCTTTCTATTCCACAAAACCGCCATTGTCATCATGGCCCGTTCTCAATGAGCTGTTGGGTACACCTCCCAGACCGGGTGGTGGCCGGGCAGAGGGGCTCCTCACTTCCCAGTAGGGGCGGCTGGCCGGGCGGGGAGCTGACCCCCCCACCTCCCTCCGGGACGGGGCTGCTGGCTGGGCAGAGGAGCTCCTCACTTCCCAGTAGGGGCGGCTGGGCAGAGGTGCCCCTCACCTCCCGGACGGGGCGGCTCCCGGGCGGGGGGCTGACCCCCCCACCTCCCTCCCGGACGGGGTGGCTGCCGGGCAGAGGGGCTCCTCACTTCTCAGACGGGGCGGCTGCCGGGCGGAGAGGCTCCTCACTTCTCAGACGGGGCGGCTGCCGGGCGGAGGGGCTCCTCACTTCTCAGACGGGGCGGCTGCCGGGCGGAGAGGCTCCTCACTTCTCAGACGGGGCGGCTGCCGGGCGGAGAGGCTCCTCACTTCTCAGACGGGGCGGTTGCCGGGCGGAGGGTCTCATCGCTTCTCAGACGGGGCGGCCGGGCAGAGACGCTCCTCACCTCCCAGACGGGGTCGCGGCCGGGTAGAGGCGCTCCTCACATCCCAGACGGGGCGGCGGGGCAAAGGCGCTCCCCACATCTCAGACGATGGGCGGCCGGGCAGAGACGCTCCTCACTTCCTAGATGGGATGGCGGCCGGGAAGAGGCGCTCCTCACTTCCTAGATGGGATGGCGGCCGGCCAGAGACGCTCCTCACTTTCCAGACTGGGCAGCCAGGCAGAGGGGCTCCTCACGTCCCAGACGATGGGCGGCCAGGCAGAGACGCTCCTCACTTCCCAGACGGGGTGGCGGCCGGGCAGAGGCTGCAATCTCGGCACTTTGGGAGGCCAAGGCAGGCGGGTGGGAGGTGGAGGTTTTAGCCAGCCGAGATCACGCCACTGCGCTCCAGCCTGGGCACCATTGAGCACTGAGTGAAGGAGACTCCGTCTGCAATCCCGGCACCTCAGGAGGCCAAGGCTGGCGGATCACTTGCTGTTAGGAGCTGGAGACCAGCCCGGCCAACACAGCGAAACCCCGTCTCCACCAAAAAAATACGAAAACCAGTCAGGCGTGGCGGCGCGCGCCTGCAATCGCAGGCACTAGGCAGGCTGAGGCAGGAGAATCAGGCAGGGAGGTTGCAGTGAGCCGAGATGGCAGCAGTACAGTCCAGCTTCGGCTCGGCATCAGAGGGAGACCGTGGAAAGAGGGGACGGGGAGAGGGAGGGGGAGGGGGAGGGGGAGGGAGAGGGAGAGGGAGAGCTTTTTGTAGTTTTCTTGACATTAACGTGTAATCATTAATACTTTGTACATGGATATTGTTATAGCTTACTGAATATTACATGTTGGGCACTGAGAAGATAAATATGAATAAGACCTAGTTCCCATTTTCAGGATGCTCACAAAACACAAACACATAAAAATATAATTATAAATAATGTAACAATTGTAGTGACTGGTATACATTACAGGAGTTGGTGGGAGGGGGTTGGTCATTTTGGAAGGTTTCCTGGCCTTCATACACCATAATCTCATTTAATGCTCACAACAACCTCAGGAAATCAGAGTTACTCTTATTCCCACTTTATAGATGAGGAAACACTCAGAAGTTCCCAATACATTGTTGAAGTTCCTCATACATTGTTGGGGATGTAAAATTTGTAGCCACTTTGGAAAAGTTTGGCAGCTCCTCAAAAAGATAAACATAAAACTACCATAAGACCCAGTAATTTTACTCCTAGGTATAGAATTATTCTACTTGCAGTAGGATCATTTCTGCTTCAAGATAAATGAAAACATATGTCTATGCAAAGACAAGACTTGGACACAAATGGTTCTAGCAGCATTATTCGTAATAGCCCCAAACTGGAAATACCTAAATATCCATCAACTGGTGAACAGAAAGACAAAATGTATTAGATTCATACAATGGAATACTATTCAACTATATAGAGGAATGAGGTACTGATACATTCTACAATATGATCCTCAAAAACATGGTGCTAAATGACAGAAGCGAGTCACAAAAAATCACATATGATTCCATGTACATGAGACATGAAGAATAGAAAAACCTACAAAGACAAAAAGTAGGCCAGGCGCGGTGGCTCACGCGTGTAATCCCAGCACTTGGAGAGGCCAAGGCGGGTGGATTACCTGAGCTCAGGAGTTCAAGACCAGCCTGGGCAACATAGTGAGACCTAGTCTCTACAAAAAACAAACAAAACTAGCTGGGTATGGTGGTGCATGCCTGTGGTTCCAGCTACTTTGGCCGCTGAGGCAGGAGAATCACTTGAACCCAGGAAGCAGAGGTTGCAATGAGCTAAGATGGAGCTGCACTCCAGCCTGAGTGACAGAGTGACACCCTGCCTCAGAAAGAGAGAGAAGAAGAAGAAAGAAGAAGGAGGAGACCTGAGGTCAGGAGTTCAAGACAAGCCTGGCCAACATGGTGAAACCCCATCTCTACTAAAAATACAAAAATCAGCCAGGCATGGTGGTGCATGCCTGTAATCCCAGCTACTCGGGAGGCTGAGGCAGGAGAATTGCTTGAACCCGGGAGGTGGAGGTTGCAGTGAGCAGAGATGGCGCCACTGCACTCCAGCCTGGGTGACAGAGCGAGACTCCATCTCAAAAAAAAAAAAAAAAAGGAATGAAGTTGGACCCCTAACTCACAACATATACAAAATTTGACTCAGAAATGAATCAAAGATCTAAATATATGAGCTAAAACTATACAACTTTTAGGAAAAAGCATAGACATAAGTCTTTGTGACCTTATATTAGGCAACAATTTCTTACTTTTTTTTTTTTTTTTTTTTTGAGACAAGGTCTCATCTGTCGCCCAGGCTGGAGTGCAGTGGTGTGAACAAAACTCACGGCAGCCTCGACCTCCTGGGATCAAGCAATCCTCCTGCCTCAGCCTCCTGTGTAGCTGGGACTACAGGCACTTGCCTGCCACCATGCTTAGTTAATTTTTAAATTTCTTATAGAGACAGGTTCTTCCTGTGTTGCTCAGGCTGGTCTTGAACTCCTGGCCTCAAGTGATCCTCCTGCCTCACCTCTCAAAGTAATAATTTCTTAAATATGACACCAGAAGCACAAGTAACAAAAGGAAGAAAATAGATAAATTGGACTTCATTAAAATCAAAAGCTTTTTTTTTTTTTTTTTTTGAGATGGAGTCTCTCTCTGCTGCCAGGCTGGAGTGCGGTGGCACAATCTCGGCTCACTGCAACCTCCACTTCCCAGGTTCAAGTGGTTCTGCTGCCTCAGCCTCCCAAGTAGCTGGGACTACAGGCGCTTGCCACCACGCCAGGCTACTTTTTGTATTTGGAGTTTCACCATGTTGGCCAGGATGGTCTCGATCTCTTGACCTCATAATCCACCCGCCTCAGCCTCCCAAAGTGCTGGGATTACAGGCGTGAGCCACCACACCCAGCCTAAAATTAAAAACTTCTTTGTTGCAAAGGACATCATCAAGAAAGTAAAAAACCAACCTACAGCTAATTGTTTGATTTTTTTTATAGAGACGAAGTCTCACTATGTTCCCCAGGTTGATCTTAAACTCCTGGGTTCAAGTGATCCTCCTGGCTTGGCCTCCCAAAGTACTGAGATTATAAGTGTGAGCCACCATGCCCAACCTATATGATCTCACTTACATAAAATATCCAGAATAGGCAAATTTATAGAGATTCATGGTTATTTAAGGTTGTTGGGGAGGGGAGAAGACTGCTAATGGACACAGAGTCTTATGGGGGTGTGATTAAAATATTCTAAAAGTGATATGGTGATGGTTCCCGGGTATTCTTATTTAGCAATCAGTTCAACCCTTCACATTAACAAGTTAAAGGAAAAACCCATGTGACCATCTCCATAGATACAGGAAAAACACTTGAAAAATTCAACACTCATTCACGGTTTTTAGAAACCTGATAGCTAAATAAGAATACACAGGAATTACTTTCCACAGCAAATATCAAACTTAATGGTGAAACTTTAGAAATGAGAGAAGGACATCCAGTATCATTCCTACAAATCAACATCGTATTAGTGATCCCGGACAAAGCAATAAAACAAGGAATAAGAAAAAAGCCCCTGCCAGTCTGTTTCGAACTTATGCAATTAACTACAATGCTGTCCTGAACAAGTGCCATTTATTTATCAGACATTTATTGGGCATCTACCCTGTTCCAAGGTGGGGTCATAACTACTGCTCCCTCCTTGTCAAGGGTGTTTACCTGCCTTAAGAAATTGCTTCCTCTTTCCCTGGGTGGCCAAGGCCTGGCAGGTGTGCGTCTGCAGCAGGATTCTTTTTTTTTTTTTTTTTTTTTGAGACAAGGTCTCACTCTGTCACCCAGGCTGGAGTGCAGTGGCACAATCTCGGCTCACTGCAAACTCTGCCTCCCAGGTTCACGCCATTCTCCTGCCTCAGCCTCAGCTACTGCCTCAGCCTCCCGAGTAGCTGGGACTACAGGCGCCCACCACCACGCCTGGCTAATTTTTTGTATTTTTAGTAGAGACGGGGTTTCACCGTGTTAGTCAGGATGGTCTCGAACTCCTGACCTTGTGATCCGCCTGCCTTGGCCTCCCAAAGTGCTGGGATTACAGGTGTGAGCCACTGTGCCCGGCCGCAGCAGGATTCTTGAGGTGCCTCAAGCTCTGAGTTGCAGCAGGGATAGAAAACCAGACCTTTCGGGGGTTCTAACTGAGAGTTTCAAAGTGCTCAACAGTGTGACAATACTTTTTTGTTTTGTATATTAAGCTGTTTACTTTGCTTGTAGATCCTTCCACAGATCCTGGAAGAGAGAACAGGTAATGAAACTGAACTTTGGAAAATCTAAGATACTGAGAACCATAAAAAGAACCAAAAGGGCTCTTCACTCATTTGTTCATTTGTTTCACAAAACTTTTCCTTTTTTTTTTTTTTTTTTTTTTGAGACAGAGTCTTGCTATGTTGCTCAGGCTAGAGTGCAGTGGCACGATCTTGGCTCACTGCAACCTCCACCTCCAGGGTTCAAGAAATTCTCGTGCCTCAGCCTCCTGAGTAGCTGGGACTACAGGCGCCCACCACCACACCCGGCTAATTTTTGTATTTTTAGTAGAGGTGGGGTTTTGCCATGTTGGACAGGTTGGTCTCAAACTCCTGACCTCAAGTGATCTGCTTGCCTCTGCCTCCCAAGCAGGAGGGATTACAGGCATGAGCCACTGAGCCCGGCCCACAAACCTTTTTTGAGCATCTACTATGCGCCTGCCTCTACCTGGTGCTAGGGAAACCATGCCCCCTCATTTTATGGAGCTTACAGCCAATTCTAATTCAAACCACATAAAGCTTATGGATTTGAACATATATTTAGACAAACACCTTTGAGCCTCTATGTGCTGGCTGGGTAGATCCCAAACTTTAGCGCTCATCAGAATCAGAGGGCTTGTTAGAGTACAGCTTGCTGGGCTCCATCCCTAGAATTTCTGATTCAGTAGGTCACAGGTGGGACCTAAAAATGGACATTTCTGGGCTGGGCGTGGTGGCTCATGCCTGTAATCCCAGCACTTTGGGAGGCCAAGGCAGGCAGCTCACCTGAAGTGGGGAGTTCGAGACCAGTCTGACCAACATGGAGAAACCCTGTCTCTACTAAAAATACAAAATTAGCCGGGTGTGGTGGCGTATGCCTGTAATCCCAGCTACTTGAGAGGCTGAGGCCAGAGAATTGCTTGAACCTGGGAGGCGGCGGTTGCGGTGAGCTGAGATTGTGTCATTGCACTCCAGCCTGGGCAACAAGAGTGAAACTCCATCTGAAAAAAAAAAAAAAAAAAAAAAAAAAAAAAAAAGGGCATCTCTAACAAGCTCCAAGGTGATGTTGAGAATACTGGTCAGGAGGACCACCGCACCAGATAACATGCAATGCCCACACTGGGATTCAGACATTGCAAAATGTAAAAAAGAAAGAAAACAATCCTTATTCTTGAGGAGCTCACAGCCCAGTGGATTCACTCACTTGCTCATTCATTTATTCAACAAATTAGGGCCTCGTGTGCATAACATCATTTAGCTTCCGGCCAAGCGTGGTAGCTCACACCTGTAATCCCAGCACTTTGGGAGGCAGATGGATCACTTAAGCCCATGTGTTTGAGACCAGCCTGGACAACATAGTGAAACCCCATCTCTACAAAAAATACAAAAAATTAGCCAGGCATGGTGGTGGCCTGTAGTCCCAGCCCTTTGAGAGGCTGAGCTGGAAGGATCACCTGAGCCCAGAAGGTCTAGGGTGCAGTGAGTCATAAGCATGCCACTGTACTCCAGCCTGGGCAACAGAGTGAGACCCCATCTCAAACAACCAAAAAAAAAAAACCACAAACAAACAAACAACAACAACAAAATCATTTATTAGGTTGGTGCAAAAGTAATTGCGGTTTTTGCCATTAAAAGTTATGGCTAAATGGTTTCTGGCAAAACCCTATAAAGTAGGTATTGTTATTAGCCCCATGTTTACAAATGAGGAAATTGAGACTCAGAGAGGTTGGGCAATGTGTACAAAGTCACACAACATGTGATAGAGCCCAGGCCATGCAGCCCCAGGAAACCCTACTCTTAACCTCTAGCCAAACTTCATGTCTTATAAATATGTCGTTTAATAAAGTGTTATAAATGCCACCATCAAGGAAGAATAGAATGCTCTGGGAGCTCGGATGGGCTCCATCTATGGAAAGATGGACTCAGAGAGGGTTGGGGATGGGGCCTGAAGGAGATGCTTGCCTAAGGAAAGAAGGGGAGAAGGCTGCACAGCAGGCAGAAGGAGCTGTTTGGGAAAAGGCCAGGTGGCTCCATGGTTAAAATATGTAGAACAGGGCCAAGTGTGGTGGCTCACGCCTACAATCCCAGCACTTTGGGAGGCTGAGGCGGGAGGATTGCCTGAGCTCAGGAGTTCACCACCAGCCTGGGCAACACGGTGAAACCCCGTCTCTACTAAAATACAAAAAATTAGCCAGGCGTGGCGGCGTGTGCCTGTAGTCCCAGCTACTCAGGAGGCTGAGGCAAGAGAATCGCTTGAAACAAGTGACCACAGCAAAGGGTGACCAGCAGGATGCCCAGTGTATCTGTTGGCTAGTGGTTGTGTTGACCCAGTTATGGCCACACACCCCTTCCTGGAGCGTGTAGTCCCTCAATTAAAGGGATCCCTGACCACTCGAACTGTTTGCCCCGTCAGCGCTAGCTAGGCCTCTGCCCAGGCAGGTTATTTTCCCAGCATGGGGACCACTGCCCTCTGCTGGCCACTCTGCCAAATGCAGAAATTGGGAAAAGCTACCTTTTATTGAGATCTCTTTAGTGACCAGGTTTTATTCTATGCAATCTTTTCAAAAACCTTATAGAATAGGCATTATTATTGCCAGTGAGGCTCAAAGAGGTGAATTTACTTATGTGAGGTCACACAGCTAGTAAGGGTGAGCAAGAGAGGCACTTCACCTGCCTCACCCTAGTCCCGGTCCTGGTGATACAACCAGACTGCAACGTGGCCATCTAAGCTCCAAGGGCCATGCTTGTGACTTCCATGTGGTCCAGCCTCCTAACTGGCATTATGGGGGCTCCATTCTGACCTTTAAGATTTTCTGTGTGTGTACACTGCCAGATTCTGGGGAAACAAAGACACAGTCTTTTGCCCACAAACAGTTTGACTAGTGGTCCCTCAAATATAAACTGTGAGAAGACACCTGGCTTCAGGAGCAGCAAAGAAAGCACGATTTGCATGTGTGTGTATTTGGTATTCTAAGGAAACAGGCCCTTGGGGAAGCCTGTAGGCAGTGTCCCAGCCACAGGGAATCCTCTTCCCAGACAATGCGTGCCCTAAGGCCAGCAATCCCCTATCCCACCACCACTACTAGGCTGTACTTTCAGGTCCCTGGGACAAGCCTGATCCTGTTATTTCTTTCTTTTCTTCTTCTTTTTTTTGAGATGGAGACTCGTTCTGTCGCCCAGGCTGGAGTGCAATGGCACGACCTGGGCTCACTGCAACCTCTGCCTCCCGGGTTCAAGCGATTCTCCTGCCTCAGCCTCCCAAGTAGCTGGGACTACAGGTGCCCGCCACACGCCCAGCTAAGTTTTGTATTTTTAGTAGAGACAGGGTTTCACCATATTGGCCAGGCTGGTCTCGAACTCCTGACCTTGTGATCTGTCCGCCTCAGCCTCCCAAAGTGCTGGGATTACAGGCGTGAGCTACTGCTCCTGGCCCCTTTTTTTTTTCTTTTCTTTTTCTTTTTTTTGAGATAGGGTCTACCTCTGTTGCCCAGACTGAAGTGCAGTGGCACAATCACAGCTCACTGCAGCATCGACTTCCCGGGTCCAGGTCATCCTCCTATCTCAGCCTCTCAAGTAGCTGGGACTATAGATGCACACCACCATGCCTGGCTAATTTTTGTATTTTTTTTAAGAGATGGGGTCTCGCTAAGTTGCCCAGGCTGCTCTCAAACTCCTGGGCTCAAGCCATCCTCCTGCCTCAGCTTCCCAAAGTTTTGGGATTACAGGTATGAGCCTGGCCTCATTATTTCTCTACTTACACAAATCTTCCTCATGGTCTGAGCCCTTTGAGGACCACCACCTTCCCTTGAGCTCTGTAACCCTGGCAGGGCCACCAGCCACCAGGTTCCTTGGAGGTACTAGGGAAGCTTTTGTGGATAAATAACCATGAACTTGCAATACAGTTGATCTGCTGTCACTTCTGACGTGATTGTTATTGTCAGGAAAATGCTCACCAGTGTGAAGTTCATTCATTCCTTTGACCCAGACATACCCACCACTTCTCATGTTGCCAGCTTTTTTTTTGAGACAGAGTCTTGCTCTGTTGCCCAGACTGGAGTGCAGTGGCACAATCTTGGCTCACTGCAACCTCCACCTCCTGGGTTCAAGCGATTCTCATGCCTCAGCCTCTCGAGTAGCCAGGACTATAGGCACACGCCACCAAGCCCAGCTAATTTTTTTTTTTTTTTTAAGTAGAGATGGGGTTTCACCAGGCTGGTCTTGAACTCCTGACCTCAAGTGAACCGCTGTCCTCTGCCTCCCAAAGTGCTGGGATTATAGGCGTGAGCCACCGCGCCCGGCTGCCAGCACCTTTTTTCCAAGTGTCCAAGGCAGTAGTTTCCCCTAAAACCAATTCACAAGTTTTTATTGAGCACCTACTAGGAAGCCAAAACACAGGGGGAGGAAAATTTTAGAGGTAGAGCTTCAGGCCTTTTATTAAGAACCTGCAATTGTCCTAATTGGAATTGTCCTAAGCCTGTTACTCTTCACATCACCCCAGTGGGGAGGGGAAGATGAATCCTTTTATAGATGAGAAAGCAGCTCGGAGAGGGATAGGGACATATCCAGAATCACAGAGTAAGAGGCAGAGCTGAGATTTGAAGCCAGGTCTAGCCTGATGACAACATCTCAGCTTCTGTGCCTGTGGTTCTCAAAGTGTACTCCCCAGACCAGCAGCATCAGAATTACCTGGGTAGTTGTTAGAAATGCAGATGACTGGCCAGGCATGGTGGCTCACGCCTGTAATCCCAGCAATTCAGGAGGCCGAGATGGGCGGATCACCTGAGGTCAGGAATTCGAGACAAGCCTGGCCAACATGGTGAAACCCTGTCTCTACTAAAAATACCAAAAATTAGCCAGGTGCAGTGGCGGGCACCTGTAATCCCAGCTACTCAGGAGGCTGAGACAGGAGAGAATCACTTGAACTCGGGAGGTGGAGGTTGCAGTGAGCCGAGATCGCACCATTGCACCCCAGCCTGGGCGACAGAGCTAGGCTCTGTCTTAAAAAAAAAAAAAAGAAATGCAGATGACCAGGTCCCATCCCACATCAACTGAATCTGAAATTCTGGATGTTGGCCCCAGGAGTCTGCATTTTAATAAGTCCTCCAGGTGATTCAGATGCACACTCAAGTGTGAGAACTGCTGACCTATGCTGAGGTGGACTCCATGGTCCAGGTGCCCACGCTTAGATGGGAACGACCCCCAACTGGTACATACACAAATGACTCCCATCAAGACAAATTCCACAGTAGCAACAGTGGAGGGAGACTCATTCTGGGGGTTCTGAAAAGGTTTCATGGAAGAGGCAACATTTGAACTTGACCATAATCAATGGAAGGACTTTCAAGATCATAAATGGAAGAAAAGGGCTTTCAGGTAGAGTGGAAGCAAGGAAGCCAGAAAGTACCTGTTCATAAAATGGGAATATAGGTCAATTCATGACATGCTTTGCCTGCTAGGCTGAGAGATCTTGCCCTTATCCTGGAAGCAGTGGGGATCCCTGATCCCTGGTAGCTTTTTTTTTTTTTTTTTTTTTTGAGACAGAGTCTCGCTCTGTCTCCCAGGCTGGAGTGCAGTGGCGCGATCTTGGCTCACTGCAAGCTCCACCTCCCGGGTTCACGCCATTCTCCTGCCTCAGCCTCCCGAGTAGCTGGGACTACAGGCTCCCGCCATCAGGCCCGGCTAATTTTTTTTTTATTTTTAGTAGAGATGGGGTTTCACCATGTTAGCCAGGATGGTCTTGATCTCCTGACCTCGTGATCTGCCCGCCTCGGCCTCCCAAAGTGCTGGGATTACAGGTGTAAGCCACTGCGCCCGGCCCCCTGGTAGCTTTTTGAGCACAGGTATACTCATAGCTCAAAGTCCCTATATGTCATTGCCCAACAACAGTGTTTTTTTTGTTGTCGTTTTTTTGGGTTTTGTGTTTTTTTGAGATGGAGTCTCGTTCTGTCGTCCAGGCTGGAGTGCAGTGGCACGATCTCAGCTCACTGCAACTTCTGCCTCCTTGGTTCAAACAATTCTCTGCCTCAGCCTCCTGAGTAGCTGGAATTACAGCTACTCAGCCGAGCTGCCATCACGCTCGGCTAATTTTTTTGTATTTTTAATAGAGACGGGTCTTCACCATCTTGGCCAGGCTGGTCTTGAACTCCTGACCTCATGATCCACCCGCCTCAGCCTCCCAAAGTGCTGGGATTACAGGCATGAGCCACTGCACCTGGCCAACAGTGTTTTCTTACTTACCCATCACAGTAGGCAGAATAATGCCCCACTCCCAAAAGATATCCAATGTCCTAATCCCCCGAACCTGTGAATATGTGATATTACATGGCAAGGGAAAATTAAGATTACAGGTGATAAGATAGCTAATCAGCTGACCCTGAAATGGGTGATTATCTTGGATTATCTAGGTAGACCTAACATAATCATCATCCTGACTGGTCACAGTGGCTCATGCCTGTAATCTTAGCATTTTGGGAGGCTGAGGCAGGTGGATCATCTGAGGCTAGGAGTTCGAGACCAGCCTGACCAACATGGTGAAACCTGGTCCCTACTAAAAATACAAAAAAATTTAGCCGAGCATGGTGGTGTGCGCTTGTAATCCCAGCGACTCAGGAGGCTGAGGCACGAGAATTGCTTCAGCCTGGGAGGTGGAGGTTGCAGTGAGCCAAGATCACACCACTGCACTCCAGCCTGGGTGACAATTTGAGACTCTGTCTCAAATAATCATCATCATCATCATCATCATCATCATCATCATCATAGTCTTTTTGTTTTTTGAGACAGGATCTCATTCTGTCGCCCAGGCTGGAGTGCAGTGGTGCAGTCACAGTTCATTGCAGCCTCAACCTCCCTTGGCCCAGGTGATCCTCCTGCCTCAGCCTCCCGAGTAGTTGGGACTACAGGTGTGTGCCACCACACCCAGCAAATTTTTTGTAGAGATGGAGTTTTGCCATGTTGCCCAGGCTGATCTTGAACTCCTGGGCTCAGGTGATTTGCCTACCTCAGTATCCCAAAGTTCTGGGATTACAAGCGTGAGCTACCACACCTGGCCAATAGCAGTTTAAATTGGGTGGTCAGGATAAGCCTCCCTGAGATGGTAGCATTTGGGCTAAGACTTGGCAGAAAGAAGTGAGAACACTGGCCATGTGGATATCTGTGGGAAGACCATGCCAGGCAGGAGGAGCAGCCAGTGCAAAGGTCCTGGGGCACAAGTGTGCCAAGTATATTCAAGGAACACTAAGGAAGTCAATGTGACTGGAGCAGGGGAGGAGAGGGAGAGTGAGAAGGGATGAGGTCAGAGGAAGGCAGATTAGGTAAGACCTTCAGGCCATGCAAGGCTTGGCTTTTGGCTTGAGTGAGAGGCATTAGAGGGTTTTGCAGAGTGCAATGACATGATCTGGTATCAGAGTCACTTGCTGCTCAGTTGAGAATAGGCTGTAGGCCGGGCATGGTGGCTCACACCTGTAATCCTAGCACTCTGAAAGGCCAAGATGGGTGGATCACTTGAGGTCAGGAGTTCAAGACCAGCCTGGCCAACATGGCGAAGCCCCATCTCTACTAAAAATAGAAAAATTAGCTGGGCATGGTGGCACATGCCTGTAATTCCAGCTACTTGGAAGGATGAGGCATGAGAATTGCTTGAAGTTGGGAGGTTGCAGTGAGCCAAGATTTTGCCACTGCACTACAACTTGGGCAACAGAGCGAGACCCTCTCTCTCAAAAAAAAAAAAAAAAAAGAAAAAAGAAAAAAGAATAGGCTGTAGAGCAGCCAGGGTGGAAGCAGAGAGCACAATGAAGGCTCCTGCAGTGATCCGGGCAAGAGATCACAATGGCTTGGACCAGGCCACTAGCGGTGCAGTGATGAGGAGTGGCGTTCTAGATATATTTTAGGGATAGAGCCAATGGATTTCATGATGTGGGGTGTGAGAGAAAGAGAAGAGTCAAGAATGTTCATCCTGAACGCTAGAAAATGGAAGTTGTGGGCTGGGCGCAGTGGCTCATACCTGTAATCCCAGCACTTTGGGAGGCTGAGGCTGGCGGATCACGAGGTCAGGAGTTCAAGACCAGCATGACCAACATGGTGAAACACTGTCTCTACTAAAAAATACAAAAATTAGCCGGGCATGGTGGCGCACACCTGTAATCCCAGATATTCGGGAGGCTAAGGCAGGAGAATTGCTTGAACCCGGGAGGCGGAGGTTGCAGTGAGCCGAGATTATGCCATTGCACTCCAGCCTGGGCAGCACAGTGAGACTCTGTCTCAAAAAAAAAAAAAAAAGAAGAAGAAGAAAATGGAAGTTGCCACCAGTTTAGATGAGGAAGAGGTGTGTGCATGTGCATGTGCGTGCGTGTGTGCATGTGTGTATGCATAGGTACTTTGGGTAGGGAAGCCAGGAATTCAGCTTTGCATAGGTTAAGTTCAAGATGGCCCCTTAGACTTCCAGGCAGACGTGTCTGGAGGCAGTTGGATATAGTAATCTGCAGGTCAAGGGAGAGGGTCCAGGCTGGAGTTACAAGTTGGGAATCACCAGGATCTAGATGATATTTAAAGCCATGGGACTGGGTGGAATCCCAAGGGAGTGAGCATGGAGAGTGGAGAGGAGTCCTCAGTGCTGAGAAATCAGAAAGAAGAGGAGGAACAAACCAAGGAGTTCAAGAAGGAGCCACCAGTACGAGAGGAAGAAAATCAAAGCAGTGTGGTGTCTTGAGGCCAAGTAAAGAAATGGGGGAGACATTAGGCAGCTGCTGGAGGGGCTGCAGGATGAGGACTGAGCACTGACCTCTGGGTTCAGCAGGTGGGGGGGTCATGGTGGCCTTGATGAGAGCAGTTCAGTGGCTGGTGGGAGCAAAATTCTGATCAGGCAGAGTTTAAGAGAATATAGCAAGGCCAGGCATGGTGGCATGCACCTGTAGTCGCAATGAATCTGGAGGTTGAGGCAGGAGGATTGGTCAAGGTTACAGAGCCATGATCATGCCACTGTGCTCCAGCCTGGGTGACAGAGCGAGACCCTGTCTCTAACCAGTGGCGTGATCAAAGCTGTGTATAGCCTCACACTCCTGGGCTCAAGCAATCCTCCCACCTCAGCCTCCCAAGTAGCAGAACGTAGCAGGACTACAGACACGTGCCATCACACCTGACTAATTTTTAAATTTTTTGTAGAAGTGAAGTCTCACTATGTTGCCCATTGTGCCCAACCCCTTGATGGTTTGATTTTATCTGGAAAAAAACTTGCTCCAGAGAGCAAGCATCCCAGGACCTCTCTGAGCTCATTTCTTACCCTCCCAACTGCTTCACCCCAGAGGACTCTCCTCTTGGCACATGGCAGTTTGCCAGTGAACCAAAATCAAGCACAAGAATCTAATAATACCATCAGAGGTGTTTAAACTAGAGTGACTCCATCTTGAATAGGGTCTGGGTAAAATAAGGCTGAGACCTACTGGCCTGCACTCCCAGAAAGCAGGACATTCTAAGTCACAGGATGAGATACAGGTCACAAAGACGTTGCTGATAAAACAGGCTGTGGTAAAGAAGCCAGCCAAAATCCACCAAAACCAAGATTGCTGCAAAGTGACCTCTGGTCATCCTCACTGCTCATTATATGCTAATTATAATACAGTAGCATGCTAAGAGACACTCCCACCAGTGCCCCGACAGCTTACAAATGCCATGGCAACGTCAGGAAGTCACCCTATAGGGTCTAAAAAGGGGAGGAACCCTCAGTTCTGAGCACCCCTTTCCGGGAAAACTCATGAATAATCCACCCCTTGTTTAGCATATAATCAATAAATGACCATAAAAATGCGCAACCAGCAGCCCCTGGGGGCAGCTTTGCCTGTAGGTTATCCATTCTGTATTCCTTCACTTTCCTAATAAACTTGCTTTCGCTTTATGGACTTTGTGTGAGATCCAAGAACCCTCTCTTGGGGTCTGGACCCCTTTCCGGTAACGGTACCAGCAGAGGACTGTTCAAGCAGTTGCTCCTGAGTCTCTATTTATTGATTGTATGCAGAAATGAGGATAAGCTATCTTGAGAGGTTCTATTTTAAAAATTATGGCACTGAAAGTACAGTATTTGCATTAGGTATATCAAACACTTGGAATCCTTACAGTTTTCTCTCCTTCTCTATTTTGATCCAATATAAACATAGTCGGGCATGACATAATATCAAATACCTATAGATTACTTAAAGATTACCCTAAACCTGGAGGTTCAGAAAAAATTTCACTGTAATTGAATTGTTCACATATTTAAGTAAAAACAAAAAGTTATTTTACTTAAAAAGAGAGAGAGAGAGAATGGCCAGGCTCAGTGGCTTAGACCTATAATTCCAGCACTTTGGGAGGCTGAGGAGGGAGGATCACTTGAGCTCAAGAGTTCGAGACCAGCCTGGGCAAAGTGAGACCCCTGCCCCCCGACCTCCATATAAAAATTAAAAGTGGCAGGCGCGGTGGCTCACGCCTGTAATCCCAGCACTTTGGGAGGCCAAGGCGGGCGGATCACGAGATCGGGAGGGAGATCGAGACCATCCTGGCTAACAGGGTGAAACCCCATCTCTACTAAAAATACAAAAAATTAGCTGGGCATGGTGGTGGGCACCTGTAGTCCCAGCAACTTGGGAGGCTGAGGCAGGAGAATGCTGTGAACCCGGGAGGCGGAGCTTGCAGTGAGCCGAGATTGAGCCACTGCACTCCAGCCTGGGTGACAGAGCAAGACTCCATCTCAAAAATAAATAAATAAATAAATAAAAATTAAAAGTTAGCCCAGTGTGGTGGCACACATCTGTGGTCCCAGGTACTTGGGAGGATGAGATGGGAGGATCCCTTGAGCCCAGGAGGTTTAGACTATAGTGAGCCATGATCATGCCACTGCACTCCAGCCCGGGTGACAAAGTGAGACCCTGTCTCAAAATAATAACAATAAAACAAAACAAAGAAGGCTTTAAAGTCTTGCAGACCTGGGTTGGAATCCTGGTTATATTACTTGTTCATTCTGACTTTATACAAATTAATCTCTCTAAGCTTTAATTTCAGTGAGATGGGAAGCATAACGTCACCTACCTCATAGGGTTGCTGTGAGTATTGAGTGGGTATTGAGTGAGCTATTGCTTGTATAGCCCTTGGCCCTGTGACTAGTACGTAGTAAATAAATAAATAAATAAATAGGTGGGCCAGAGCCCCAGACCAGAAAACTGATTATTACAGTCCACAGTGGTAATTGCTGTGGTGGGAGATACTGGATCCCGTAGGAGTCCAGAGTAAGTACATCAAGGAAGGGTTCTTGGAGGAATTGACATCTAAGTTGGCCTGCTGAAAGGACGTGGGAGAGCATTACAGACGGAGGGGAGAACAGTGAAGGGGCTCAATCACAGTGGGGACAGAGAGGCAAGAGATCAGCCTGTGAATGGCAGGAGCAGCAAGACCATGCAGGGCTAGACATCCATGAAAACAAGTTTGGCTTTTATTCAGAGAGCAATGCGGGGGGCACTGAAGAGTTCTAAGTAGAGGAGCAACAGAACAGATATGCAAGATTAGGGGCAGGGAGACCAGCGAGGAAGTGAGAGGTGGCAGTGGTCTGGACTGGGGTTGGCCTGCAGATGGAGAAGGTGGTCTCACTGGTGAGACTAGTGACAAGACTTGTTTGAGGGGAGGTTGGTAGAAGAAGGGAGGAGAGGATGACTCCGAGGGGGTGCATGGTAATGCCTTCCATCAAGACAGGGACAGAAAACAATCTGGTGCAAGGAGTGGGCGTACGAGATGGTGAGTTCAGTTTTGGACCTGTAGAGTTTAAGGTGTCTGTCTGTGAGCCAGTGAAATGAAACTGTCTCATAGGTGGCTGGATACATAGATCTTGAACTAGAGAAGAGTCCAGGCTGGAAATACAGCCTTGGAAGATGTGATTGGCTCAGTAATGGCTCCCAAAGATATCCAGGTCCTAATCCATGGAACCTGTAAATGGCACTTATATAGCAAAAGAGATTTTGCAGGTGTGATTAAATTAAGGATTTTGAGATGGGGAGATTATCCTGGATTATCTGGATAGGCCCTAAATGTAATCACAAATGTCCTTATAAGAGGGAGGCTGAGCACTTTGAGAGGTCCAGGTGGGTGGACCACTTGAGGTCAGGAGTTGGAGACCAGTCTGGCCAACATGATGAAACCCTGTCTGTACTAAAAATACAAAAAATAAAAATATAAGTAAATAAAAAATAAAAATAAAAAATTAGCTGGGTGTGGTGGCATGGGCCTGTAATTCTAGCTACTCAGGAGGCTGAGGCACAAAAATCCCTTGAACCTGTGAAGCAGAGGTTGCAGTGAGCTGAGATCACACCACTGCACTCCAGCCTGGGCGACAGAGAGGCATCACGTCTCAAAAAAAAAAAAAAAAAAAAGAGAGAGGTTGAACTAGCTGGGCGTGGTGTCATGCACCTGCAGTCCCAGCTACTTGGGAGGCTGAGGTGGGAGGATCGCAAAAGCCCAGGAGGTTGAGACTTCAGGGAGCTGTGATCACTCCACTGCTTGGAGTGACAGAATGAGACCCTGCCTCAAAAAAAAAAAAAAAAAAAAAAAAAAAGAGGGGGCCGGGCGCCGTGGCTCATGCCTGTAATCCCAGAACTTTCGGAGGCCGACGCGGGTGGATCTCCTAAGGTCAGGAGTTCGAGGACCAACATTGAGAAACCCCATCTCTACTAAACATACAAAATTAGCCGGGCATAGTGGCGCATGCCTGTAATCCCAGCTACTCTGGAGGCTGAGGCAGGAGAATCGCTGGAACCCGGGAGGCGGAGGTTGTGGTGAGCTGAGATCGCACCATTGCACTTCAGCCTGGGCAACAAGAGTGAAACTCCGTCTCAAAAAAAACAAAAAAAAAACAAAAAGAAGAGGGGTGGGGAGGCTGGGAGAAATTTGATCACAGGGAAGAAGGCAAGTAAGATGCTTGAAGATGCTGCTGCCCTTGAAGGTGGAAGGTGCCATAAGCCAAAGAATGCAAAAACTACAGCTCTCGAAGCTGCAAAAGCAAGAAAACAGATGCTCCCTTATAGCATCCAGAGGAAGTACAGCCCCACTGATACCTTGATTTTAGCCCAGTGAAAGTTATTGCAGACTTGTGACCTCCAGACATGTAAAAGAATAAATGTGGCCAGGCGCAGTGGCTCATGCCTGTAATCCCAGCACTCTGGGAGGCCGAGGTGGGCGGATCACCTGAGGTCAGAAGTTCAAGACCAGCCTGGCCAACACGGCGAAACCCCGTCTCTACTAAAAAATACAAAAATTAGCTGGGTGTGGTGGCACGTGCCTGTAATCCCAGCTACTCGGGAGGCTGAGGGAAGTTATTGGTGATTTGTTATAGTAGCAACAGGAAACTAGTACAGAAGACATCAACATTACCGTTGGGATTGGATGAAGAAATCCAGGAAGGCTGATAGAGTGAGACATGCAGAGGATTTAGCAGAGAGCTCCCAACAACTCCAGCATTTAAGATCCCTGCGGAGGAAGTGCATCTCAGAAAGGGCTCTTGGAACAGCCAGAGGGAGAGGGCCACCAAAGAAAATAGTTCTCCTAGGATTCAGGGGCAAGGGTGTTTCAAGGAGAAGGGAGTGGTTAACATTGTCAGATGCTCCTAAAAGTCAAGCAAGAAAAGTGCCTAAGCTCAGGAGTTTGAGGCTGCCTTGAGCTATGATCATTGCACTGCACTTCAGCCTGGGCGACAGAGTGAGACCTTGTCTCTAAAAATAAATAACAAGAAAAGTGCCTATTTGGTTTCAACAGGAGAAGTTGACCTTGAAAGAACTCTTGGAATAGTTGTCGTCTCTATCAGATGGTACACATTTTTTTCAACTTTTAATTCTTTTTTCTTTCTTTTCTTTTTCTTTTTCTTTTTTTTTTTTTTTGAGACAGGGTCTCACTTTGTCACCCAGGCTGGAGTGCAATGGCAGGATCTCAGCTCACTGCAAACTTGACCTCCCAGGTTTAAGCCATTTTCCTGCCTCAGCCCACCAAGTAGCTGGGACTACAGGCAAGAGCCACCACGCCGGGCTAATTTTTGTATATTTTGTAGAGACAAGGTTTCGCCATGTTGCTCAGGTTGGCCTTGAACTCCTGAACAATCCGCTCACCTCGGCTTCCCAAAGTGCTAAGATTACAGGCATGAGCCATCGCTCCCGTCAACTTTTAATTCTATTACACAGTAGTATATGGTCATTGTATAAAAGTTAGGATATACAGATTCACCAAAAGAAAAGAAAGTTACTCATAATGTCTTCAGCTAGTGCATATCTGTCTTCAGCTAGTGCATAAAATGTTGCTGGTGCAACATTTTAGTGCATATCTTTCCGGATTTTTTCTTTTCTTTTCTTTTCTGTGCGAGAAAAGAAAAGATTCTCTCAATCGCCGCCCTGTGGGGTAAAATACCATGAGGCCATTTTAAGAGGGGGAAATGCAGGCTTAGAGAAGCAAGCAATTTATCCAAAGTAACCAAGATTGGAATCTAGGTTCCTCTGACTCCAAAACCAATGTTCCTTGCTGCGGTGCTTTCCTAGCTTTTTACTTGGAGAACTTTTCCCCAGAGGACCTCAGGCTTCAGAACTAAACCTAAGTGGATTTCTATCCTGAACCCCATCCCTCATCCGCCCCAAAGGATGGTGAGCCAGATTAAGGGGTGAAAGGCAGGAGCAGGAAGAGTAAAGGCGTGGGTGCGATCTATGGTCGGGTAAGAGGGAACTAGTACACGCACGTGTTCGGTTCTTCGCAACATCACAATCAAGCGGGCATCAGGCTTCCCATTGTACAGATAAGGAAACTGAGGTTCCAGAAGAGAAGTAATTTTCCCCAAGTCACACAGCTAGCCAGGGGCCCCGATCCACACATCCCCGGGGCGGCGGGGGTTATCAGGAGGGAGTCTCCGGATGCCTGCAAAGCTGAGGCTGAGAGCTGGGCGTACGCAGCAAAGGAGGGGTGGGGCGATTCGGGGCGGAGCGAGGCAAGGAGATTGGGCGGGACTGGGGAGAGAGGAGGGAAGGGTGGCGGGGGGGTGGTAGGGCAGAAGGGGCGAGGTCATGGGGAACTCGGAACGAATCAGCAGAGGAGGGAGGAAGAGGGAGGGGGCTCTAAGACTCGACGCGGAGATGGAACAGCCTGGGCCGTGCAAGGGAGGAGGATTTGGAAGACCCAGAGCGGGATGAAACGGGACAGAGCCCTGAAGGGGCAGGGATGGGGGAAGGCGGAGGAGTTTCTACTGAGGCCAGGGGTGGGGCATCGCGCCAGGGGGCGGGGTCTGAGGCGGTGAGGGGCTGGGGGCGTGGCCTAGGGGGCCGGCGAGGGGCCGGGGAAGCGGCCTGACGCGGTGCGGGGCCGGGACCGGGGCCGGAGCCTGGACCTTGGCGGTGGAGGAAGGCGAGGAGCCGGGGGCGGGGCCGTCCCAGCTGAGGAGCGGAGAGCGGCTGGAGGGTCGGGGGCGGGGCGTGCGGAGGGGCGGGGCGTGTGGAGGCCGGGACGGCGCCCCCGGCCGGCGGTGAGGCCGGCTCAGCGCGGAGCAGCTCAGTGCCCCCCGCGCCCCGCTCCGGCAGCTCCACGCTCGCGCCCGCCATGCCGGAGCAGTTCAGCGTCGCCGAGTTCCTGGCCGTCACCGCGGAGGACCTCAGCTCCCCGGCTGGGGCCGCCGCCTTCGCCGCCAAGATGCCCCGGTACCGAGGGGCGGCGCTGGCGCGGGAGGAGGTGAGGGGGCCGAGGCGGGAGGGGTCGGGGGTCGGCGCCGGGCCTGGCCTTGACCTCCACAGGCGTGTCGCACCCGAGCTGCGATGGCCCTTCACCGCGCCCCGAAACCTGCCCCCTCCCTAGGTCTGGGAGGACCGAGCGCATCTCCAACAGCTGCGTCCTCACCGTCGAGGCGGGGGAAGGCCCGAGGGACCGTTTTGGGGGGCCTCGAGGTCTCTTCGATGACAAACTCCACAGGTCGGGGGACGTACCCCAAGTGCCCCGCGTGACCGCCTCATCACATATGTGTTTGCCTAGCGCCTTCCAGCCTCAGTTTGCGTTTTCATCTTCGGAGCCCCACAAGTGTGCCCCCCGAGTCACTCCCCTTCTGAGAGGCAGGCTTCCCGCCTCAGTCCTGAACTTTCTTCCCCCCGGCTGCAGAGAGGCCCCCTCCCGCTTGCGGCTGGTTCGGAGATTTGGCCCGCGTTTGTGGAATGAATGCGGATGGGAAGGCGCCAGGAGCCGGGGTTCACCTTGGCCGGGCTGTTGGCAAGTTTATCGTCTCCTCTCCCCTCCCCTCTCCTCTTTGTCTTTCCCAGCAAAGCGTCCCAGGCCTTTTCTTTCGGTCTTGCAGGCTGCCCCACCCCATTCCCATGCTCTTCGGAGTTCCTTCCATTCCTCTTCTCTGAACCTGCTGCAGCTTTCCGCAGCTCCTCTGCAAAGAATATTCTAGGACAGACACCCCGTGGCCTTGGTCCAACGGAGAATAATGTGTTTTTGCAGCTCCCCATCCAAAGGATGCCCTCAATTTGGGTGGCATTTTGGACCTCAGCAACGGCTCTAGCCTTCCACCCTTCACCTTAAGTGTACTAGGCACCCACTGCGTGGCAGATACAAAGCTCAGTAGTTCATAACACCCTGCGCCAGTGTCAGGAAATCTGTCCTCTTCTCTCTTGTCAGGGTGACCCTCCATCTCGGAGTCTGTTTGTATCACTTTGTAAGGGTGATAGAGGATTGTGGAAGGAGCATCGACTTTGGGGAAGGCAGACCTTTTTTCTTTCCTTTTTTTTTTTTGAGACGGAGTCTCGCTGTGTCGCCCAGGCTGGAGTGCAGTGACGCGATCTTGGCTCAATGCAAACTCCGCCTCCCAGGTTCACACCATTCTCCTGCCTCAGCCTCCCGAGTAGCTGGGACTACAGGCTCCCGCCACTACGCCTGGCTAATTTTTTTTTTGTATTTTTAGTAGAGACGGGGTTTCACCGTGTTAGCCAGGATGGTCTCGATCTCCTGACCTCATGATCCGCCCGTCTCGGCCTCCCAAAGTGCTGGGATTACAGGCGTGAGCCACCGCGCCGGCCAAGGCAGACCTTTTTTCAAACGCTGGCTCTGCAGTTTGCCATTTGGGTGAACGTGGGCATGTGACCTGTCCTGTCATCTGTGGAATGGGGGTAATAATGTGTACCTCACATGAGACAATGCATATAAAGCATGCATCTTTTTTTTGGAGACAGAGTCTTGCTCTGTCTCCCAGGCTGGAGTACAGTGGTGCGATCTCAGCTGACTGCAATCTCTGCCTCCCGGGTTCAAGCAATTCTCATTCCTCAGCCTCCCAAGCAGCTGGAATTACAGGCATGCTCCACCACACCCGGCTAATATTTGTATTTTTAGTAGAGACAGGGTTTCACCATGTTGGTCAGGCTGTTCTTGAACTCCTGAGCTCAGGCAGTCTATCCGCCTTGGCCTCTCAAAGTACTAGGATTATAGGTGTGAGCCGCTGCACTGGCCCATGCCTCTTGATAAATGGAATGATTATCGTCAGATTAATCGGCAGATCTCTTTAGACAGTGATTGGGTCTCTTTTGTCTTCATTTGTCTCACAGAGCCTCACCTTGTCTCATTTGTCTCACGGAGCCTAGCCTACTACTTTGCACATAGTAGGGGTACATGTTTTATTAAAATAAGAAGCAGCCGGTCAGATTTGGCTTCCTTCCTTGGGCAGAGTCCACTGCCTGTGGATGTGGGTTATATTTTACTGTGGGGCTCACAGGGAAACACTGCTGTCCAGCCCATCCTTTGGAGAGCTTCCTGAGATTTGTCTTCATAGCCTCACATTTCATGACCCAGAATAGCTCAGTGCCATCCACATTCTTAGGGATTTCATGGTTCATCCTCCTCCCCAGGTTGTTCATTAGAATCTTAGAGCAGGAGAAGGGGCTCCAATATGAACCTTATCCATGGACAGAAATGCCCATTTATGCCCATACATCTGGCCTTGCCTGGCTGTGTAAGTGTAAGCACTGTGTGTTGGGGGAGGGACCCTTAGAATGGGTCTGGAGGCCACAGCAGGCTCTGTTCAGGGCTCAGCTTTGCCCCAGTTCAGGCAAGACAAAACCCATCCTCCTTTGCCTTCAGATTTTTGGTTTGGTGCACGTAGAGGTTCATTGTTACAACAGAAAGGCTTGCGGCACCCAAACACAGCTTTTCTCTTCAGCATCTCAGGGCCCAAAAAGTTAGAGTCTGAACTTTGGATTAGACTTCCCTGAGGTTTCCTGTTTGGTTTTGCATTTGCATTTATATTTTGCGATTATATTGTGTTTACATATAGTTTGATGCTGCAATTTTTTCCCCCAGTTCTGGGCTTGACTAACCCACCCCCAGGCTTGTAGCTCTATTTGACTGAATCAAAATGCAACTGATTCTTAAGTCAAGTCTTCCAGTTCTGACTGGTTTCCTGGGAGTAACTAGGGACCCTGTCCTGGGACTCGCAGCCCTTTTGTACAGTCCTGCTGGGAAGGACCCTGGGCAGATCACAGGAAACTAGAATGTCAGGGCTGAGGGACCCTTTTAAGATAGAGACCAGCTAGAAACTCTCTCAGATAAGATGGAGTAACTGATGTCCAGAGAGGCCAAGAGACTTGGCCAAGCTCCTGCGGCTGGATAGTGGGAAAGTTAGCATTTCTACCCACGTGTTCTACCCCCGGTCCTGTTCTCTTTCCTTTTAAAGTCCATCTGTCTGTCCTCCCTACGTAACTTCTCTGAACCTTGTTATTTTATCCTTAAAATGGATCTCTTAATCACTCCCTGCTTACCTTACTGGGTTGTTAAAGTTTTTTGTGTTCAATTATGAAGCACCATGCAAATGTGAGGGAGTATATTAAGATAGTCATTACGTCAACCAGCCTCTTCCTGTCTTGGGCCCCTTTATGCCCATCATCTCATTGATATTCACAACAACAGGTGAAACCGGGCCTAGGGCAGTGGAGGCAGCTGCCCTGTGTCACACAGTGGGTCTCTCTGACTCTGCTGTGCTCTGCCTGGGCTCTGTCCAGCTCTCTGTGCCATCTCTATGGACATAAAGGACACTAAGGACATAAAGATGCTACTTTGATTTGCTGACTGACTAGGGAGAAGTAGCCTGTTACAGGGAGATCAGTAAGAACCCCAGGAGTTTGTCCTGAGTCCCCAGAGAAAGGTACAGTCAATGCCATAAGAGGCAAGTGGAGCAGGAGAGGGAGAGAGCAGTAAGGACTGGTGCAATGAGGGAGAAGTTCCTGGAGGAGGTGACACTTCCAGGTGGAAGGATAGATGAACCCCATTTATCGGAGAGGACAAGGGAGTGAATTCAGAGACTGGTGGGAAGAGAGCATATTGGGAACCAAGTAAGCCATTTTGACCAGAGCTAAGAATTCATACTATATTGTGTGCCTCAAACTGCTAGTGGACACACCCCCTCCAGTAGGTCTCAGATGAAGCAGTCTGCCACAAATAGGAGATCTTCAAAGGCTTGTTTTGTATATATTTTTGAAATTTTAAAAGAAAGTTTTAATTGGACAAGTGGCATAATTTATTATTATTTTATTTTTTGAGACAGGGTCTCACTCTGTCACCCAGGCTAGAGTACAGTGGCACAATCATGGCTCACCACAGCCTCAACCTCCTGGGCTCAGGTGATTTTCCCACCTCAGCCTCCTGAGTAGCTAGGATTACTGGCGCCGGCTTAATTTTTGTATTTTTTGTAGGGTTGGGGTTTCACTATGTTGCCCGGCTGGTCTTGAACTCCTGGGCTCAAGTGATCTGCCCACCTCAGCCTCCAAAAATGTTAGGATTACAGGCGTGAGCCACTATGCTCGGCCAGGGCATAATTTGTAATAAGTAATTTAAAACATAACAGAAAAGGCCTATGAACAACTATCTCAATCCCTGTATTCTCCCCAGAGGTAATTGCTATGGAAATGTACATGCTTCCCAATGTATCTCCTCATGGAAAATATATTATCAGTGGGGGAATGGGAGTGGCTGGGGGAATGTTTACCTAAATTGGTATCAGGTCTTATAATGCACAGTTTAAATTGTTTTGGAGTTACATTTTTCTTTTCCTTTGTGACTTTTGCTTTTTTGAATCTTGTTTTAGAAAGGATTTCCTTCTTAATTTTTAATATTCTTGTGAATTTTACAGTTTGCTTTGTAAAATGTATTTTAGTGTAAAAATTGTGTAATCTTAGAGATTGTTTGCAAGAAACATAAACCCTGTCAAGCTTGTTTCTGTTGGAGGGAAATTTGTTTGTTTGTTTTTTGATCGTCAGAGAAGAATATTGAGGGAAATTGGCTTTAAAGAATTAGAGGTGCCTCATGAGACTGAAGAGCCGGAGGTAAAAGTACACCTCTCCAGGGCCTGGAACTGGAGGCTGGGAAGTTGTCAGGAACTAAGGCAGCTGCTTCGTCATTCTTGTTCTCTCCTGCCTCTGCTTCCCTCTGCACATCTGATCAGTGCTTTCGCTCATTCATCATCACATAGGCCCCAAAGCACAGCCCCCATGCTCACATGACCTCACTGGGCCAGTGTCTAAAGGTAACCGGACACTAGATTGAGCCAGTCTCATGTCCCACTTCCAAGTTCCTGGCAGAGGTTGACAGCCCGGCCCAGTTTCTGGATTGGGTCCAGTGGCTGGGTCTCCACCCCTGGTTTCATCAGCAGAGGTCATGGAGGGAAAGTGACCGGCAGGGTAAACATGGCCATTGAGACCTATGGTGTGGGAGGGGGCGCTTCTCAGAGAAGAGGGGCAGGGCCTGGAAAATCCCCTCAGAAGTATCTATGGCGATTCCTCTTTATTTCACACAGTCCAGGTTCCAGGGAGAGGTGCTGTGTCCATCCTGTTCTGTACCTCCCTGGTTTAGATCATTTATGCATACTCTCAGGTATAGAAGAACCCCTTTAGAAAACTCAGGTATAGGAGTTTTTTCATTTTTTATTTTTTATTTTTTTTTTGAGACAGAGTCTCACTCTGTCATGCAGGCTGGAGTGCAGTGGCACGATCTCAGCTCACTGTGACCTCCACCTCCCAGGTTCACGCCATTCTTCTGCCTCAACTTCCCGAGTAGCTGGGACTACAGGTGCCCACCACCACGCCCGGATAATTTTTTGTATTTCTAGTAGAGACAGGGTTTCACCGTGTTAGCCAGGATGGTCTTGTTCTCCTGACCTCGTGATCCACCCGCCTCGTCCTCTCAAAGTGCTGGCATTACAGGCATGAGCCACTGCACCTGGCTGGAGTTTTTTTTTAAGATAGAGTTTCACTCTTGTCACCCAGGCTGGAGTGCAACGGCACGATCTGGGCTCACTGCAACCTCCACTTCCCAGGTTCAAGCGATTCTCCTGCCTCAGCCTCCCGAGTAGCTGGGATTACAGGCGCCCGCCACCATGCCTGGCTAATTTTTGTATTTTCAGTAGAGATGGGGTTTTGCCATGTTGGCCAGGCTTGTCTCAAACTCCTGACCTCAGGTGATCCACCCACCTCGGCTTCCCAAAGTGCTGGGATTACAGGCGTGAGCCACTGTGCCCAGCAGTTTAAAAGATTTAAAAGATGAGATTAGAATGCTAAGGGGGTGCAGCAAGACTTGGAGGGTTTTGAATGCCAATTGAGCATTCTGACTTTTTGTTGGGCGGTGTGGACCAGTGGACCCAATCATGTTGCTCAAGGAATGGATGGGGTTGGCCCTGCCAGCATAGTGCCTGGGGGACTGCTCCATGCCAGGCCCTGTATGAGGCACTGGGCAGATGCATCGCTCAGTTAGAGATGCAGTCCCTGCCCTGTGGACCTTACAGTCTTCTGGCAAAGCCCAACAGTAAGCAGGTAAACAAATAAGTCACAGCCGGGTGCAGTGGCTTATGCCTGAATGCCAGCACTTTGGGAGGCCGAGGTGAGAGGATCACTTGAGCCCAGGAGATTGAGGCTGCAGTGAACTCCGATGGTGCCACTGCATGCTAGCCTAGGTGATAGAGCAAGACCCTGTCTCCAAAACAAAACAAAACAAACAGAAAGAACAAATAAGTCAGAAGTTGCTCATTGTACTAAGTGGCACGAAGACTCATCCTCCTCGTCAAGGCCTTCTTTGAGGTTTGTTCTGGGTCCTCATCTCTTCAGGGAATCTTGTCCACACGTGTGGCCTTAGTTACCTCCCATCTCCAGGTGACTCACACATTTGTACCTGTAGCCTAGATCCTCATGTCCCAGTGCATACTTGACCACACTCCTAACTTCCCTCAGGCTCCCTTCCAGAGCTGTTTTCACAATGAGTGGTGCGACCTCTCACCTCCACGTGTGCCCCTCATCACCAAGGAACATCTTCTTTTTTTTTTTTTTTTTTTTTTGAGATGGAGTCTCACTCTGTTGCTCAGGCTGGAGTGCAGTGGCGTGATCTCGGCTCACTGCAACCTCTGTCTCCTGGGTTCAAGTGATTCTCCTGCCTCAGCCTCCCCAAGGCAGATGGATCACTGGAGGTCAGGAGTTCGAGACCAGCCTGGCCAACGTGGCGAAACCCTGTCTCTCCTAAAAATACAAAAATTAGCTGGGTATGGTGGCACGTGCCTGTAATCCCAGCTACTTGGGAGGCTGAGGCACGAGAATTGCTTGAACCCGGGAGGTGGAGGTTGCAGTGAGCCCAGGTCACGCCATTGTACTCCAGCCTGGGCGACAGAGCAAGACTCTGTCCCCCGACAAAATATTATTTTATTAAGATCTAATTTGTCAATAGATTTTGACTTCTATGAGAATAGAAACTAATCTCACTGTTGTGTCCCTAGTATTTACCATAGAACCATAGTGTGTTTTCAGAAAATGTTGGTTGAATAACAAATAAATGAAAGAAAAAAAAAAACTAAAAAGGAGCATTCATAGAGAATAATGGTATGGGGGTGCTCCAGATGGAGGGGACCTCTTAGGCAAAGGTCCTGAGGCAGTAAAGAAGCTGAAATATATGTGACCCTGAAAGGGGGCCCAAGGGGCAAAAGCACTGAGATGGGCAAAGGGAAGAGTGGCACCTGCTGAGTTTGGGTGGTGGTGGCAAGGCCATATTCAAGTTTGATGGCCCTGGTAGTGAGTTTAAGTTTTATTTAGTACACAGGCAAGCAGCATAATCCAGTTTGTATTTTAGAAAGATCATATCAGTTGCTGTATGGAAACTAGATTGGAAGGGCCAGGAGAGGACCCAAGGAGGCCATTCTGTTATTTAGGGAAGAGATGATGGTGGTGTGGATCGGGTTGTGGTTGGTGGAGGAGGAGAGAAGTGCACAGATTGTAGAAGTGTTTTATAAGCAGTCAAGATTTGTCGATGGAGTACATGTGGGCAGTGCTCAAGATTGTGTCCCACATTTCTTTTTTTCTTTTTTTTTTTTGTTTGATTGGGATGGAGTCTCACTGTATTGCCCAGGCTGGAGTTCAGTGGCACCATCTCGGCTTACTGCAACCTCCACCTCCCGGGTTCAAGCGATTCTCCTGCCTCAGCCTCCCAAGTACCTGGGGCTACAGGCGCCCGCTACCACACCCAGCTAATTTTTGTATTTTTAATAGACATGAGGTTTCACCATGTTGGCCAGGCTGTTCTCAAACTCCTGACCTCAAATGATCTGCCCGCCTCAGCCTCCCAAAGTGCTGAGATTACAAGTGTGAGCCACTGTGCCCGGCCTTAAATTTCTGATGGAAGGGTGCCATATACCGAGAAGGGGAAATCTGGCAGGGGAACAGGTTTGGGGAGAAATCAAGAATTCTATTTTTTTTTTTAATTTTTTGTTT
The DNA here is from genome assembly GCF_000001405.40 of Homo sapiens. Classification (NCBI taxonomy): domain Eukaryota; kingdom Metazoa; phylum Chordata; class Mammalia; order Primates; family Hominidae; genus Homo; species Homo sapiens. The sequence continues at coordinate 245,935 of NW_014040926.1, read as the reverse complement.
TTTAGAGACAGGGTCTCCTTCTTTTGCCCAGGCTGGAATGCAGTGGTGCAGTCATAGCTCACCACAGCCTTGAATTCCTGGGCTTAAGCAATCCTCGTGCTTCCACAGGCACATGCCACCACATCCATGCTAATTTGTTTCTTCTCTTGGTAAAGATGAGGTCTCGCTGTGTTGCCTAGGCTGGTTTCAAACTCTTGGGCTTAAGTGATCCTCTTGCCTTGGCCTCCCAAAATGTTAGGGTTACAAGCATGAGCCACTTGTGCCTGGCCAAGAATTCTATCTGTATATCTTTATAGGTCTTGAGACATCCAAGTGGAGATGTCAAGAAGGCAGTATGTGAGTTTGGAATTCAAAGGAGCGGGCTGGAGATACACATTTGAGAGCTGTTAGCATCGAGACCGTGGGTTTCAAACCTGCATCTGTGTCAGAATCACTTGGCGTCATTCCCAGAGAGTATGATTCAGTGGTGGTATCTTAGGCTTTTTATGGCAAGCAAGAGAAACCATCCTGAGCTGATTTAAGCAGAAAAGGGCTGCACTGAAAGGGAATGTTCAGTAGTTCACAGAATTTCTGGGAAGTTGGAAAACTGGGGCTGGGCAGCAGGCAGGATCTCAGCCAAAATCATGCCACCGAGCCAGTTTGGCAGGACACTGCTGCCACACACTAAATGCCATCGCTGTGTCACTGTTCCCTGAACACTAGACACCATTGCTGTGGTTGCCACCAGCATTGGAATGGATCTTCCACTGTGCTCCTGATTCAAAGTCTGTAGTGAGGGCTTCTGATTGGTTGAGCTTAGGTGTAAGGGAGGCTGGAAAAGCAAGAATTTGTTGTTTTCAGCTTTCACAGGAGGTGAACTCTGCCAAGACCTGTGCAGTGAGGAAGTCCCCAGACATAGGAAGGAGGTCAGATGCCAGACTGGCACACAATGACAGATGTACTTGACAGCAAGTTTGCCAGCTTGTGGGATTGTCTGGGAATCTGCATTTAAACCAGCACCCTGGAAATTCCCATGCAGGTGCTGCCTGAACCACATTTGCATCCATTGCTTGAACTGGTACTTAAAGCTGTGGGGGCTGGGCGCGGTGGCCCACACCCGTAATCCCAGCACTTTGGGAGGCTGAGGCAGGGGGACCACTTGAGGTCAGGAGTTTGAGACCAGCCTGGCCAACATGGCGAAACCCCGTCTCACTAAAAATGCAAAAAATTAGCCGGGCGTGGTGGCACGCACCTGTAGTCCCAGCTATTCGGAGGCTGAGGCAGGAGAATCGCTTGAACCCGGGAGGTGGAGGTTGCAGTGAGCCGAGATTGCGCCACTGCACTCCAGCCTGGGTGAAAGGGCAAGACTATGTCTCAAAAAAATAAAAATAAATAAATAAATAAAGCTGTGGAATGGACAAGATCACCTAGAGAGAGGAACGAAGAAGGCCCAGACCCAAGCCCTGGGGACCCTCGGTATCAAGAGATTGGGATAGGAAGAGGAATTAATAAAGGAGACCAAGAACGGGCTGTCAGTGGGGAAGGAAGGAAATAAGACAGTGTTGTGCCTCAGAAGCCAGGAGAGAAGTGTTCCGAGGAGAAGGGGTGCTCGGCTCTGTTAGATGCTGCCCAGATGCCCAGAGGTAAAATAAGACAATGACAGAGACACAGCCTCTGGCTTTGGCAACACGGAGGTCATTGGGAACCTTAAGAGCAGATTTATGGCTCACGCCTGTAATCCCAGCAGTTTGGGGGACTAAGGCGGGTGGATCACCTGAGGTCAGGAGTTCGAGACCAGCCTGGCCAACATGGCAAAACCCCATCTCTACTAAAAATACAAAAATTAGCCAGCCATGGTGGCAGGCACCTGTAATCCCAGCTACTCAGGAGGCTGAGGCAGGAGAATTGCTTGAACCCGGGAGGTGGATGTTTCAGTGAGCCGAGATTGTGCCACTGCAGACACAGCAAGGCTCCATCTCAAAAAAAAAAAAAAAAAAAAAAAAGAGCAGATTTAATGCCATTTTCGCCTCCACACCATCCTGGACTGATTTGAGGAGGGGGCAGATGAGAAGTTCTCCCTAGAAGGGGAGCAGAGACATAGGGTGTGGCTAGGGCCCTGGGATCAGCAGGGTTTTCTAGGATGGACTGGGGACCCAACTCCACTGAACCAGCCTCCTCCCTACCAACAGCCTCTGCACAGGGGGCCGAGGGTCTTCCCAGAGTTGTCAACCTTGAGCCTGTCTCTCAAAGTCTCCTTCTCTCCCCAAATTTGTCTTTTTTTGTGCTCACTTCCTTGCCTAGTGTTCAGCTGTTTCTGGCCACTGAGGTACAAGGAGACAGATGACTCAGGCAGATTTGGAGGCAGAAACTGTAACTTTAGGTCAGAGCAGAAGGAACATGCTTTCCCTGAAGGCAATTTGATCATATCATTCTCAGACAAGATGCTGCTAGAAGGTCCCTTCGATGGGCCTAGAACTTGGGCCCAGGGCAGATGAGGGAGTGAGACCCACAGGGGAACAGTGAGTGGCTTCTGTGACTCTAGGTCAGGGCCCTGGAAAAACTGATTCCACCTCACCAACGTCACAGGAGGTGCTTTGGAGGGCATGGGAGGCTGAGCTGGGAACAGCTGCTGAAGGTTCTCTAACTTGACTGGTTTTAGACCTTGAAAGAGCTTTTAAGAATCTCAGCTGCTGCGGGCTACACCCAGACCCACTGAATCAGAATCTCCCAGGGGCGAGGCCTGGGCAAGTGTGCAGTTCAGAAGTTCCCAGGTAACTGATGAGCAGTTGGGGTGAAAACTATTGTGGTAAGCTATTGCATGCCCACTGAAGGTTAGTAATCCATTAAGCCATATTTACTGAATGCCTGTGGTGTACAAAGGCAGGCTCTGAGGGCACGGAGAGAACTAGACAAGGTCTCCTTCTGGGTGGGAGGACTCTGCCAGTGAAAAGTTGATTGACAACCTGTAGCATACAGGGATGTGGCTGAGGTCTGTGGCGAGAGTCCAGTAACTAAAGTCAGACAGACTTGGGTTTGAATTCCTATTGGCTGTGTGACTTTGGGCAAATGACTTAACCTTTCTGAATCTCAGTTTTCTGATCTGTGAATTAGGGATGAAGATAATTGTCTTATGGGTTTGTTTGAGGGGATAACACATAGAAAATCTAGCAAGCATGAACCTAGCACGTAACAGGTACTTAGTAATTTTTTAAAATTCCCTCTTACTGTAAACACAAGTACACCTGCACATAGGGTAGTTAAAAAGATCAGGAAACATACAGAGAAAAGAGGAAAGTAATTGCAATAGGGATGAGGTAATTACCATGAGTGAGTGTTGAGATTATCTGTGCGGTCCTGGCACCAGAGCAAAAAGAGAAACCTTATGTACCTTGGAGGTTTTGGGGAATGAACAGCTAAGCCTGATTTTGGACAAGGCAGGGTCTTCCCTCAGCTCTGCCCTTTGCTCTCTGCCTCCTGTTCATTTCTTTGTCAAACATTTGCTGAGGCCAGTGTGGTGGCTCATACCCGTAATCCCAGCACTGTGGGACGCCAAGGTGGGAGGATCACTTGAAGCCAGGAGTTTGAGACCACCCTGGTCTCAAACAACAAAGCAAGACCCTGTCTCTACGAAAACAAAACAAAACATTTGCTGAGAGGCTACCTAGCAGTTCTCAGTCCTGGCTGCACCCTACAATCCCTTAGGTTGCTTTTAGGTAGATTTCCTCTCATTCAGGTAAAATTCACATAACATAAAACTCACCATTTTAAAATGTACAATTCAGTGGCCTTAAGTATATTCACAGTGTTGTGTAGTCATCACCACTATGTAATTCCAGAACATTTCCATCATCCCAAAAAGAAACCCTGTATTGATTAGTAGTTACTCTCCACTCCTTTTCCCCGGCCCCCGACAACTTTCCATCTCTATGGCTTTACCTATTCTGGACAGTTCATGTGAATGAAATCCTACTATATGTGGCCTTTTTTGTCTGATCTCTTTCAGTTGCACAGTGTTTTCAAGGTTCATCCGTGTTGTCTGGGTTGTGTTAAAAAGCAATAAAAATAGGAAAAACAAACACACCAGGCAGTGTTGTAAGCACTTTTCAGATATTAGCACATCATAACACAGGGCCTGTCCAGTTATTTGGATACAGAGAAGGTGTCTGCTGGGCAGGAATAGCTACCATGAAGCCCTTTCTGTGTGTATTATGCTGGGCCACGTGCTTAAATGCCTGACTGAGTTCAGTCTGATTAGATAGATGCTGTTATTATGCCATTTGACAGATGGGGAACATCTATCAGAGAAGCTGTGTCACTTGCCTCAGGTCACACAGCTAAGAGGACTGGAACCAGAATTTGGACTTTAGGACAGTATGACTTGAAAGCCGGAGTCCTTAACCCTTGCTGTCTTTTCTATATTGCCACTGGGCCTTGCTAGTATGTATTCATACATTTAATCATTCATTCATTCCACACATGCTTATTAACACCCACATCCTGAGTTTTGTGTTGAGTGCTGCAGATACAAAGGTAAATGAGCCATTCCCTGCCTTTCTGGAGTTTTCAGCCCCGTAGAGATCAGACATGTATGGCAAATAAGGGCCAGGATACTCTAATGAAAGCCTGTAGTGGGCATAGGATGGAATAAAGGTAGGCAGGATCAGTTCTGTTGTGGTGGGGAGGGGGTGACCTGTAAGTTGAGTCGGGAAAGATGAAGTGTTTACTAGACAGAATGGGGCAAGGGCCCTCCAGGCAGAGGGAGCAGCATGAGCAAAGGTCTGATGGCTGGAAACAGTTTGGCATATTTAGGAAATTGCCAAGAGTTCAATAGGGATGGTTTTAAGGGACCAGTGATGGATAGCAAGCCCAAGTGGGGGGCAGGGAGGGATTCATCCTGGCCAACAAGGGAACCCAGAAGGTGGGAAGTACTGTTTGCTGCTCTGTCCAAGAGGGCAGGCCAGGTTCTTCCCCAGGATTGGGTGGAATTCAGGGCTTGAGGCCAGGGGTCGGGTAGGAGGAACCTTCCGCGGTTAGTCCAGCAAAGTTCTTGTTCTCTTAGCTCATCACCGCCAAGCAATCTCCTGAGGAAAATCCCAGCCAGGAAACTTGGGGTTTGCAGAGGCCTCAGCATACATCGAGGGTGTGGCTCCCTTCTTGCAACCCCTCTTCCTCCCTGCTTCCCACCACCCCACAAGGGACAGCCGGTAAGGCTGAGCTGGTGAGGCTGGACAAGTGCCCAGGCTGGGAAGACGTCTGCAGAGGCCTGACCAAGGGGCGCACGGCCAGTCACAGGCCCCAGCAGTGCAGGAAGGAAAACAGCAAGAGGCCAGGGGATCCTGAAATAATAAATGTCAGAGCATACAGGAGCCTTCCCTGTCACCACCCAAACCCTTCATTCCAGAAGAGGAGTCAGAGGCTCAGGGTGGGAAGGAGACTGGCCAGGTCACACCGCGAGACAGGGGCAGGGCTGGGGCTGGCCCTGGGTCCTGGCTCCCAGGCCTTGCAGTGTAGCCACCGTAGGGGCTGTGGGGTGGCAAGCAGGGCCAAGGGCCACCTTGGTATGGATGAGGCAGAGGGGTAGCTGGGAAGAGCACTGCCCTCCTCTGGCACCCCCTTCTGCCCCAGCCTGGACTCTCAGGTGCTGGGGGTGGGGGCTGATCCAGAGGAAAACCATTTGGAGTCTTTGGCTCACTCTTGCTGGTGGCTGAGGTTGGAGCAGCCTTGTAGGGTATGACTAACCTCAACTGTGTCCTAGCGCTTTGGCCTGGAAGGGGATTTAGAGCTCGTGTCTGTTAGCTCAAAATTGGACAGATGAGGAAACTGAGGCATAGAAGGAGGAAGGAACTCGCTCAGAGGCACACTGAGGGCTTAATGGCAGAGACAGCCCTAAAATTCAGCACTTTCCAGTTCAGGGCTCTTGGTCTCATGGCCTTGTTCTATATGCAGTAGAAGGCCATTCTCTCAGAATGTTTCTGCAGCACCTCTGAAGATGCCTGGCTTCCACCATTAGAAAAAACATTACCTCAATTTCTTTTCACAGCAATCCTTACAGAGATAACTGGGGCTCAGAGAGAGAAGATTTAGCTCGTAGTTTGCTTTAGTGTGATAGCAAGAAAGGGCTCTGGAGGCAGAGGTCTCTGCGTTTCTTAGAACTTCCTACATGACCTTGAGCAAACTGCCTAACCTACCCCAGCCTCAGTTTCTTCATCTGTAAGATGGGGAGGATAATAACTACCTCACAGAGTTGTTGGGAGGAATAGGCCAGGTAACAAACATAAAATGCCTGCCCCAAAGTGAGCAGTCAGTTAGTGGGGCGATAGGTAGTTGAATTCATGCTAATAATAGACTCAAGCTGGGAGCTTGGAATGGGAGTCCTTCCTGTTGGGTGATCTGCTCCGGGCCAGGGCCTGGCTGTGTTCCTATCACCCTGTCATGCCTGGGGGACAAGGCTGAACCCTCTTTGTCCCGCTTGAACATGGATCTGCAGCCCAGCCCTGGAGTTAAACTTTCTATGTTGAGAATTACCAAGTAACTGCCCTGTTCAGAACCCTTCAGGAGCACCCCATCACTTATAGAATAAAACCTAGAGGTTTGGTTAAAAGCATGGACTCTGGAGCCCAACTGCCTGGGTTTGAGTTTATTTTATTTATTATTATTGTTATTATTATTTTTGAGATAGGGTCTCGCTCTGTTGCTCAGGCTGGAGTGCAGTGGTGCAATCAGAGCTCACTGCAGCCTTGGACTCCTGGGCTCAAGTGATACCCTACCTTAGCTTCCCAAGTGGCTGGGACTACAGGTGTGTGCCACCATGCCTGGAAAATTGTTTTGTATTTTTTGTAGAGACAGGGTTTCGCCATGTTGCCCAGGCTGGTCTCAAACTTCTGGGCTCAAGCAATCCACCCACTTGGGCCTCCCAAAGTGCTGGGATTACAGGCAGGAGCCACAACACCTGACCTGCATTTTCTGTAAATTGGTAATTGGATCTAGAAGTGAGAAGCCCTGGGTTTTTTTTGTTTTTTTTTTTGTACTTTATCATTTTGTTAAATATTTTAAGTGTAACTTGGTTTGCTCATTCAGGTATTGTACTTTTTTTTTTTTTTTTTTTTTGAGATGGAGTCTCACTCTGTCACCCAGGCTGGAGTGCAGTGGTGTGATCTCGGCTCACTACAACCCCCACCTCCTGGATTCAAGTGATTCGCCTCAGCCTCCCAAGTAGCTGGGACTACAAAAATTAGCCACCACACCCGGCTAATTTTTGTATTTTTAGTAGAGATAGGGTTTCACCCTATCTCAACTAAAGGATGGTCTCAAACTCCTGACCTCGTGATCCTCCCACCTCAGCCTCCCAAAGTGCTGGGATTACAGGCGTGAGCCACCGCACCCTGCCAAACGTTGTATTTTTAGCATCATGTTTAATATGTAGTACATATAATTTAATCATCTTTGTGGACACTGGCGTCAGAGACCAAAGAGCCAGGATTCAGCCATCCCACAGGAAAACTCCTTTTTAGCGTTGGAGTTTCATTGATCTTCCCACATCACGTATACTGTTAGTATTGATTGATTGAAAAATATGGGAAAGAACAAATGAATTCAAGAATGCTTTTAAAGGGTTCTGTGTCTTATTGATCATAGAGTTGCACATATTTGGAATGTGGTCAGACTAATTTGTGAAACATTTTTATACTCGTCAGTAGTGCTCATGATGAGTGTGGCTTCACAGTGTCCTGCTAGTAACACCATGGACCTTCAGGGTCTGGGTCCATTGCCTGGAAATGAACAAGGGAGTTAGAGTCTTAACGGTTTAGTTCCCAGGTCCACATTTTGGCTGTGTGAGCTCAGGCAATGATCTTCACTGTTCTGTGCCTCGCTGACTCATCAGCCAGATGGGAACAAAAATGATGACTGCCCCATTAAGATGCTGTGTGTCTGAAATGGTGGGTGTCAAACTCCCTTACAAACTGTAAAGCTCTATACAAGTTTTAGGTTGTATTTTTTTTTTCTTTTTCTTTTTTTTTTTTTTTTTGAGACGGAGTCTCACTCTGTCACCCAGGCTAGAGTGCAGTGGCGTGATCTCGGCTCACTGCAACCTCTGCCTCCCGGGTTCAAGCAGTTCTCTGCCTCAGCCTCCTGAGTAGCCGGGACTACAGGCACCTGCCACCACACCCAGCTAATTTTTTTTGTATTTTTAGTAGAGACGGAGTTTCACCCTCTTGACCAGGGTGGTCTTGAACTCCTGACCTCGTGATCCACCTCCCTCTGCCTCCCAAAGTGCTGGGATTACAGGCGTGAGCCACCACGCCGACCTAGTTTGTATTTGTTTCTTAGTTTGTTTGCATTTCCAGTGAAACCTGGGGCAAGAAACTCACCTGAGCCTTTATTTTGCAGTCTGTAAAATGAGGAGGTAATGTTAGATAATCTCTAATATTCTGTGACTTCGTCTCTTAAGGAACAACACCATAGTCCAAAGCAAAGATAGAAAATGTTTTTCATCTCCTCTGCCAACTCTAGTTTAATTGGTAGAGGCTACCATCATATCTTAACAGAATGATGAACCAAATCCACAGTCAGTGGGGAAAACACTGTGATCGATTAATAATGGCTATAATGGGCCAGGCGTGGTGGCTCACGCCTGTAGTCCCAGCTACTTGGGAGGCTGAGGCAGGAGAATGGCATGAACCCAGGAGGTGGAGCTTGCAGTGAGCCGAGATCACGCCACTGCACTTCAGCACTTCAGCCTAGGCAACAGAGCAAGACTCCATTTCAAAAATAGTAATAATAATAATAATAATAATAATAATAATGGCTGTAATGGGCCGGGTGAGGTGGCTCACGCCTGTAGTCCTAGCACTTTGGGAGGCTGAGGCGGGCGGATTACCTGAGGTCAGGAGTTCAAGACCAGCCTGGCCAACATGGTGAAACCCCTGTCTCTACTACAGAAAATTAGCCAGGTGCAGTGGCGCATGCCTGTAATCCCAGCTACTCTGGAGGCTGAGGCAGGATAATTGCTTGAACCTGGGAGGCGGAGGTTGCGGTGAACTGAGATCACACCACTGCACTCCAGCCTGGGCTACAGAGCGAGATTTCATCTCAAAATAATAATAATAATAATAATGGCTGTAATGGTCATGGGATGACACAGAAGTGATAACTATGTACTATATTATAATGGTCCAAAGGAATGAATGTCTAATGGTGAAATGTAATCTGTATCTCCCAAGGCCTTAGCTCTAGCAGCTCTGCCCCCTTGGCTTGAGTTGCCTTGGTAACCACAGCTGGCTCTGAGAAACCATGGGAATGAAGAATGGGTCCTATTGATGAATCCTGACCCAGAAGGGGGCATGCAGAAGGCCCTTCTAGGCAGGGCAGCTGGGCATGGCCTAGTGCTGCCATCTGTGGTCTTTTGCCTGCAGAGAACACAAACCAGAGAGCCAGAGCATGGTGTGTGTGTATGTTGGGATCAGGGTAGGGGACACAAAGGGCAGTGCCAGCAGCTGGAATTTAGGCCTTGTTTAGGGCCAGCCAGGGTAGGCTGCCCAAAGGACTCCAGTGGGCTTTCCAAGCTCAGACGTGTCTCTTACACTAAGATGTGTTTCAGCCACCTTTGCCCAGTGCCTGCCAGGCTCTTGCATGGATCCATTGACTCTTAGCTTTGAATGAAATCTAAATAGCTGTCCATTCTAATCCAAAATCCAGTGTCTGAATCACTCTCTAGCACCTAAAGTATTTGAATACTTCAAGTGACAGGGAGCTCACTGCCTTCAGGGGTGGCCTGTTCTTCCTTAGAAATGTCCCCTGTTTGAGCTGAAGTCTGTTTCTGCCTCCCTAACTTCCACCTCTCAGTCCTGGGAATCCTCTCTGAGGCCAGCCTGAACAAATCCGTTTTCTTTTCAGTAGGACATCCTTTACAGTGTTTGTATTCGGGGCCTCACCATTGCTGTCAACCTTGTTTTCCTTGGACAGATCTCCCTCTGTGCCCTGCCTTCTCCCTTTCCTAAGCCTGAGGGGATGGTGAGGGAATATGGTAGAGGTGGTAGAATTGGGATTTAGGTTTGGAGGCAGATCCAGTCCCAAGATCAAATAAGCTGTGCCCCCTAACTTTGTGGGGCAGCTTAGAGATGGGGAAAGAACATTGGCCCTGGATTTGGCTAGTCCTGGATTTAAATTGTAACTCTGGGCCAGGTGCAGTGGCTCATGTCTGTAATCCCAGCACTTTGGGAGGCCGAGGTGGGCAGATCATCTGAGGTCGGGAGTTCGAGACCAGCCTGGTCAAGATGGCGAAACCCTGTCTCTACTAAAAATACAAAAATTAGCTGGGCATGGTGGCACACGCCTGTAAACCCAGCTACTCAGGAGGCTGAGGCAGGAGGATCGCTTGAACCCAGGAGGCAGAGGTGGCAGTGAGCTGAGATTGTGTGTCTGCACTCTAGCCTGGGCGAGAGTGAGAGTCTATCCCCCCCCCAAAAAAAAAGAAAGAAAAAAAAGAAAAAAAGTTACAGCTCTGCCACTGTTCATCACTGTGTGACTTGGACATGTTCCTCCTCCTGACAGCTTCATCTTTAAAATGGGAATGGCAATGCCTTCCTCAAAGAGTGGCCAGGATAGTGACAAGTAATGAGGCTGCACAGAGCAGGCACTTGGGACATGCTGCTTGCACTCTCCCTGCCCGGCGGCAGAGGTCTGCTGTGGTCCCTCTCCACCTGTGCTTCCCCACAGCTTGCTGACGAGGATCAACATGGAGTTGGGGGTGTGGGGAGATATGTTTAATTAATTCAATGAAAGTTGAGAAATTCCTAAACCAAATTCAATTTAATTTTGAAGTAGATAACATTTTTAGTTATCAAATAGTGGACAGTATTCTAAGCACTTTACCTATAGAATTTACTTAATCTCCCCAGTAACCTTATGTGGTACGCAATATTATCATCTTCATTTTATGAATGGGGAAATTGAGGGACTGAGAGATCACATCAGGTACCTGGTGGAGCTGGAATTCAAATCCAGGTAGTTTGGGGACAGCCCCATACTTTTAGCAATGATGATGTACTGCATCTCTGAAGAGAATTAGAACAGTAATTCCCAAACTTTAGCATGCATTAGAATCACCTGGAGGGCTTGTTAAACCACAGATTGCTGGACCTCACCCCCAGATTTTCTGATTCAGCTGGAGAATTTGCTTTTCTAACAAGTTCCTGGATGATGCCTGCTGCTGGTTGAGGGCCCCCACCTTGAGAATCTCTGACTATCAGGGATTAAATGGGCCCACCTGAACCCAGAAGCTGATTTTTTTTTTTTTTTTTTTTTTTTTTTTTTTTTTTAAGACAGTGTCTCATTCTGTCACTCAGGCTGGAGTGCAGTGGCATGATTATAGCTTACTGCAACCTCGAACTCCTGGGCTCAAGGGCTCCTCTCATCCCAGCCTCCCAAATAGCTGGGACTACAGGTGTGTGTCACAGCACTTGGCTAACTTTTTTAAAAAATTTTTTGTAATGGTCGGGTGCAGTGCCTCATGCCTGTAATCCCAGCACTTTGGGAGGCCAAGACAGGAGGATCAGTTGAGGTCAGGAGTTTGAAACCAGCTTGGCCAACATGGCGAAACCCCATCTCTACTAAAAATACAAAAATTAGCCGGGCATGGTGGCGGGCACCTGTAGTCCCAACTACTTAGGAGCCTGAGGCAGGAGAATCGATTGAACCTGGGAAGTGGAGGTTGCAGTGAGCCGAGATCACACCACTGCACTCCAACCTGGGCAACAGAGAGAGACTGTGTCTCAAAAAAAAAAATTTTTTTTTTTTTTGGTATAGATCGGGGTGGGGGTCTCACTTTGTTGCCGAGGCTGGTCTTGAACTCCTGGGCTCAAGCGATCCTCTCACCTTGGCCTCCCAAAGTGCTGGGATGATAGGAGGGAGCCGCCACACCTGGCTTTTCCTTCATCTATCCAGTTTCATGGGAAACGAGGGCTGATCTCACACAGAGGCAGAAAACAAACCACAGTAAGAACCATACTCATGTTTTCCAAATGCCTCAAGCCTTGCCATGTTTGTGATCTCATTAAGCCTCACAGTAATTCTGTGAGTTAAGCAGAGAATGGATTTTTCTGCCTGTAATCCCAGCACTTTGGGAGGCCGAGGCAGGCGGATCACGAGGTCAGGAGTTTGAGACCAGCCTGGCCAACATGGTGAAACCCCGTCTCTACTAAAGATAAAAATTAGCCAGGCATGGTGGCGGGCACCTGTAATCCTAGCTACTCGGGAGGCTGAGGCAGGAGAATCATTTGAACCTGGGAGACGGAGGTTGCAGTGAGCCGAGATTGTGCCATTGCACTCCAGGCTGGGCAACAGGGCGAGATTCCATCTCAAAAATAAAAAAATAAAAAAATAAAAATCTATTTTAAAGGAGAGGAAGTTTAGAAAACTAGCTGGGCTAGTATCACCCAAGGAGATAATTTTGGAGATGCTGGGGCTAGAATCTTAGTTACTGACTCATCATAGCACTCTGGAAACCTCTGCCTTTCCTCAAAATACCTTCCTTTCCCCAGGCTACTATCAGAATCGTCTCCTTAAAACTAAATTTTTTTATGAGTGTGTGGATGAGTGGATTAAAAAAAAAAACCTGCATTTCTTTAGCTTAAATCTTTGAGCCCTATTATACCACAGGATAGGTGTTATCAACCAGTGTAAATGATTTTCAGATATTTTCTTGAGAAAGGAGTAATTAGAACTTTTCCCTTTTCATGCTCCCTATGGGCACTTGCATGTTCTTAAGTCTGTGGTTCTCTTGAAGGAAGGGGCCATGTCTTATGTGTCCCCACCATCTGGCACCATGCCTGGCTGAAACAGTCACCAAGAAATGCTTGTTGAAATGAATGAATGAATGGAGGAACTATGTTCCTGTCCTTGTCCATTCTTCCCAGAGCACGCCTCCCTTCCTGGCAGTCCTACCATTTTTTACCAAGCATTCCCTCCCCTCTACCTCATAGTGTAGTCTCTTTAGTCTCTTTTCTGCCTGTCCAGGGGCCAGAGTTAAGCAACACAGCTTAAGGGACGCCTTCCCCATTCCTTCAAAGCAGACATGGCTCTGTTTTCCCTGGACTCCCAGGAACCTTCCATCATAGCCCTCATCACATTGCATGATAAGTGTCTGCTTATAATGGCTTTTTCTTCCCTTCAATGATGATGTCCTTGAGAGCTGAGATTGTGTCTTTTTTGTTTGTTTTTTGAGACGGAGTCTCACACTGCCCTCCTGGCTGGGGTGCAATGGCGTGATCTCAGCTCACTGCAGCCTCCGCCTCCCAGGTTCAAGCGATTCTCCTGCCTCCGCCTCCCTAGTAGCTGGGACTACAGGCACATGCCACCATGCCCGGCTAATTTTTTGTATTTTTAGTAGAGACGTGTTAGCCAGGATGGTCTCGATCTTGACTTCGTGATCTGCCAGCCTCAGCCTCCCAAAGTGCTGGGATTACAGGTGTGAGCCACTGTGCCCGGCTGAGATTGTGTCTTTTTTACACAGGGTGTAGTGGGCACTCAATAACTAATTGAATGAATAAACAGCCATGTGAACTTGGCTGCCAAGAGCAGTAGGGACGGGAATGGTATCTGGCTGGGAAGCTGTTTCCTGATAGATGTCTGACAAGGGCATCGAAAAACAGTTTGTGGCCGGGCGCGGTGGCTCACGCCTGTAATCCCAGCACTTTGGGAGGCCGAGGCAGGCGGATCATGAGGTCAGGAGATCGAGACCATCCTGGCTAACACGGTGAAACCCCGTCTCTACTAAAAAATACAAAAAATTAGCCGGGCGTGGTGGCGGGCGCCTATAGTCCCAGCTACTCGGGAGGCTGAGTCAGGAGAATGGCGTGAACCCGGGAGGCAGAGCTTGCAGTGAGCCGAGATTGTGCCACTGCACTCCAGCCTGGGCTACAAAGCGAGACTCCATCTCAAAAAAAAAAAAAGAAAAGAAAAACAGTCTGTGAGTGATTCGGGTGACTTGTCTCCCTTTACCAGTTAGAGCTAGTTTCAGCCACAAGTGGCAGAATACCCAGTATAACAGTGGCTCAAATAAGAGATTTCTCTTTCATATTAAAGAATTCCACAGATAAGTAGACTGGGGCTGCTAGGGTAGTTTCCTAATCACTAGGGACAAGGCTGATATCTTGTTGCTCCGCCATCCATAACAAATGGCTTCTACTTCATGGTCCAGGATTGCTGCCTGAGCTCTAGACATCGCCAGCACATTGTAGCCAGAAGAAAGGGGTGACAGAGGGTACCCTTGCATTCCCCTTTTTTCTTTTGTTTTTTTTTTTTGTGGGGGGGTGCGTTTGAGACAGGGTCTTGCTCTGTTGCCCAGGCTGGAGTGCAGTGGCACGATCACAGCTCACTATAGCCTCAACTCCCTGGGGTCAAACAGTCCTCCCACCTCAGCCTCCTGAGTAGCTGGAATTATAGGCCCATGCCCCATGCCTGGTTTTTAATTTTTTGTAGAGACAGACTCTCACTATGTTGCCCAGGCTGGCCTCGAACTAGGCTCAAGCAATCCTCCCGCCCCAGCTTCCCAAAGTGTGAGATTACAGCCGTGAGCCACCCCACCCCAGGCCCTTTTTTTCTAAATTAAAAAAAATCGACTTTATTTTTTAGAGCAGTTTTAGGTTCACAGCAAAATTGGGCAGGAAGTACATAGAGTTACCATATACACACAGCCTCCCCCTCTGTCAACAGCTCTTACCAGAGTGGTACATTTGTTTCAATGACCATACATTGACACATCATCACCAAAAGTCCATAGTTTACATTAGGGTTCACTCTTAGTGTTGTACATTCTGTGGGATTGGACAAGTGTATAATTCCATGTATCCACCATTATAGCATCATACAGAAATGTTTCCCTGCCCTAAAAACCCTCTGTGCTTCACCTGTTCCTCCTCACTACCCCCATCCCTGGCCACCACTGATCTTTTTACTGTCTCCATAGTTTTGCCTTTTCCAGAATATCGTATAGTTGAAATCATGTAGTAGCCTTTTCAAATTGGCTTCTTTCACTTAGTGATGTGCATGTAACTTTCCTCTGCATCTTTTCATGGTTTGATAGCTCATTTCTTTTCAGTGATGAATAATATTTCACTCTCTGGATGCATGACAATTTCTTTATCCATTCACCTACTGAAGGACATCTTGGTTGTTTCCAAATTTTGGTAATTATGAATAAAGCTGATGTAAACATCCGTGTGCAGGTATGTATACGTTTTCAACTCATTGAGAAAATATGAAGGAGTATGATTGCTGACTCATTTGGCAAGAGTACGTTTAGTTAAGAAACTGTCAAACTGTCTTCCGAAGTGGCTGTACCATTTTGCATTCCCACCAACAATGGGAGTTTCTGTTGCTCCACATCTTTGTCAGTATTTGTGTTTTGGGGTTATTTATTTATTTATTTGTGTGTGTGTGTGTTTTTGTTTGGTTTTTTTTTTTTTTTTTTTTGAGATGGAGTCTCACTCTGTCACCTGGGCTGGAGTGCAGTGGCACTGTCTCAGCTCACTGCAACCTCCGCCTCCTAGGTTCAAATGATTCTCCTGCCTTAGCCTCCCGAGTAGCTGGGACTACAGCGGTGTGCCACCACGCCTGGCTAATTTTTGTATTTTTAGTAGAGACAGGGTTTCACCATGTTTGCCAGGCTGGTCTTGAACTCCTGGCCTCAAGTGATCCACCAGCCTCAGCCTCCCAAAGTGCTGGGATTATAGGCGTGAACCACCGTGCCCGGCCTCCCTTTGCCAGTATTTGGTGTTGTCAGTGTTTTGGATTTTGGCCATTCTAACAGGTGTGTAGTCCCTCCCTTCCTTTTTATTTTTCAATTTTTTAAAGCCACTTTATTGAGGTAGGATTGACATGTAAAAAGCTATACATAGTCAGTGTATACAACTTGATGAGTTTGGGGGTTATCTCCCTTCTTTGTAAGATACTTTTTGGAAGTTAACAATTAAAATATTATATTCCATGGCCAGGACTTAGTCCCATGACCACAGTTAGCTGCAAGGTAGGAAATGTAGTCTTTATTCTAGGTCGCCAAGTGGCCATCTGAAAAGTCAGGTTTCTTGTGAAGGAAGAAGAGAGAATGGACACTGGGAGCCACCCAGTGATCTCTGCCACACTGCAGGGAAGGGAAATCTTCTCAAACTTGCTTAAAGGAACTTCGTTGGGTGGATTCAGGGGTATTTCATGGAATTTCACCAAAGACATAATGTGTGGAGGTTGCCTCTGAAGAGGTAGCATCTGGAAAGTTGCCAGAAACCAGCACCACTCTTCCTCTTCTGCCTTGCTGTGGCGGTGTGGGGCTTGTTCATGTCTTTCTACACATCTGCTCTGTTCTTTTCTCTCTGCATGTGGCAGGAAGGACATCCCAGCTTTAGCATTTCAGTCAGTCAACTAGCTTTCCAGAGCCCAATTCCAAAGTCCTTGGAGAGAGAATCTGATTGGTCCAGCTTGGGTCAGGTGGGAGAGAGAATCTGATTGGTTTAGCTTGAACCAGGTGTCTGTCGACTCTGGCTAGAACAAACAAGGCTGCAGGGGCCCACCTCCAGAGGAAGGGAGGGCAGTTTTCAGAAAATGGGTGTCATGGGATGGGAAGACTCCTCAGAATGTATCTAGAGCATGAACATACTCCTCTCAGGTCCATGTCCCAGGACTTTGCAAACCATCATTCATTTAGGTAAACATTTATTGGGCACCTTCTGTGTGCTAGGTACATGGATCTGCCCTCTAGGGATTTTGGAAATTTTTTTGGAAATTGTTCATATCTTTTTTTTTTTTTTTTTTTTTTGAGATGGAGTCTCGCTCCCATTGTGCAGGCTGGAGTGCAGTGGTACCATCTCAGCTCACTGCAACCTCCACCTCTCGGGTTCAAGAGATTCTCCTTCCTCAGCCTCCTGAGTAGCTGGGATTACAGGTGTGCACCACCACGCCCAGCTAATTTTTGTATTTTTAGTAGAGACAGTGTTTCGCCATGTTGGTCAGGCTGGTCTTGAACTCCTGACCTCAGGTGATCCACTGCCTTGGCCTCCCAGAGTGCTAGGATTACAGGCGTGAGCCACTGTGCTGGCCCAGTTGTTCATATCTTTAACCTGAATTGTCTTTTAGAGCGAAATCATAGCTCCTTAAATTACTCACCTTTTAGCTTTCCAGGTTTCAAGATGGGGATCAAGGGATTTGGTAAACACATGCTTCTGTTTCCCCATCTGGATTTTGGGGAACCATAGAAGTGGCCATGTTCTTGCCTCTTTTTTTTTTTCTTTTTCTGTTGGCCAGTTTAGAAAGAAACGTTCTCCCCTCCACCTCTTTGTCTCTTTAGTAAGAAACATTTTGGTTGTTTTTTGTTTGTTTGCTTTGCTTTTTGAGACAGGGCTCTCTCTGTCACCCATGCTGGAGTGCAGTGGCGCAATCAGGGCTCACTGCAGTTTTGACCTCCCCAGGCTCAGGTGATCCTCCCACCTCAGCCTCCCAAGTAGCTGGGACTATAGGTGCATGCCACCACATGGAGATGGGGTTTCGCCAAGCTGTCCAGGCTGGTCTTGAACTCCTTGGCTCAAGTGATCCTCCTGCTTTGGCCTCCCCAAGTGCTGGAATTACAGGTGCACCCCACCACACCCAGCTAATTTATTTATTTTTTCTTTTCGGTAGAGACAAGGTCTCACTATATTGCCTAGGCTGGTCTTGAACTCCTGGCCTCAAGTGATCCTCCTGTTTCTGCCTCCCAAAGTGCTGGGATTATAGGCATGAGCCACCATGCCCAGCCTCATGTTTTAACCAACTCAAATATGATGCCGTCTCCTTAATCTTCCTGATTCTTTTGTTTTCTTTCTTCAGCCCTGGGATGGGCCTCCACGGATCTCAAATATGAAAGTGTCTCAAGTTCACACCCGAGGAGGAGAATGTTAGATTTCTAGCCCCTGTAGGAAAAGCACCTGGAACTTGGCAGACCTTCCTAGCATCAGCAGCAGCTGATGATAACGATCACAGGTGCTGTTCATTTTGAACATACTCCATGCCTAGCACCAAGCTAAATCCTGTATTTGCATCCTCTCATACATATAGCCCTCATACCAACCCTGAGAGGTAGGCATCGATTTCCCCATTTTACACATGGCTAATCAGGAAGCTCAGAAAGAATAGGCAACTTGTGCCCGGGCACGGTGGCTCATGCCTGTAATCGCAGCACCTTGGGAGGCCGAAGCGGGTGGATCACTTGAGGTCAGGAGTTTGAGACCAACCTGGCCAACACAATGAAACCCCGTCTCTACTAAAAATACAAAAAATTAGCCAGGTGGTGGGCACCTGTAATCCCAGCTAGTCAGAAGGCTGAGGCAGGAGAATTGCTTGAACCTGGCAGGCAGAGGTTGCAGTGAGCCAAGATTGTGCAACTGCACTCCAGCCTGAGCAACAAGAGCAAAACTTGGTCTCAAAAAAAATAGGCAACTTGTTCAAGGTCACATAGCCCCCGAGTAGTGGAGCTGAGCTTCGTAACTAGACCCCCCTTCCTCCAGAGGCTTCCCACATGCCACCGGCCTCTGAGAACACTCCACATTGCCTCTGAGTTCTGCCCTATGCATGTTCTCCTGTGGGTATCATTTTGAATCTTTGGCAGTACCATTTCCAATGTGTTTACTAACTCTTGTCATGTAACTCTGGAAATCAGACTCTGATCCCATTTTATTTTTGTCACTGGGAAGAACAGCTGGGCTGGGGTCAGGGTGGGGCTGTGGTACATGGATGGAACACTGTTCTGTTGCACCCGGGAAGTCCAGCTCTGTGGCTTCCCCACCATGTGTCTCTCGGTAAGGGCCTCCCATCTCTTGGCTTCAGTTTTCTCATCTGTGGGCCCCTTCCAGCTCGACATTCTGTGTTTTCCAAGTTAACTGTGCATTTCGCAAGGATTTCATGAGGTTGTCAACTTCCATGCCCCACTGAAAGGGGGAGTGTTTCCCATCTAGGCTGAGCCTGCTTGGGGCATGTGAGACTTGCTTCTTGCCATCACATCTCTGGCCTTTCCCACATTCTGATGTTTGTTCTGCAGCCTCTGGGCTTTGGGGTTATCTGGTGTTGTCTCTCCAGTTCTCCCCAGTGGTGATGGAGTGTGCTCCCGCCACCCTCTGCCATCTCCCCAGACTCAGGTAACTGAATGCCTCCAACCCCTCTCTGCTCACCCATAGCATCCTGGCCTCTTCCTCCTTGTCCTGACATAACTGTTTATTGAGCCTGGGGTTTGGTGAACAAGTGTACCCTGCTTTGTATCTTAAGGGAAGATAGAGATGTGTGTGTTCTCCCCTCTGGCCTTTTGCTCAGCATTTTGTACATATTTACAAATCATTCATCTTCTCAGCAACTCCACAAGTCCCCTAGTATCATCCCCATTTTGTAGACAAGGCACTCAAGGCTCAGAGAAGTTAACAGATTTGTCTAACGGACACACCAGCTACTGCCAGAGGCAAGATTCAAACCCAGGCCTGGCACACCCTGTCATGCCACGTACCTTTGACTCACTACATTTACGCTGCATTGGATTCAGGGAGAAAAGTCTGTGGTCTTCTTGGAGTGGTGTGACTGGTCTGTGGTTTCTGTGTGGTTTTTTGTTTGGTGGGGTAAACAGGAAGACCCTAGGGATAAGTTCCAGAGGACAGCAAAACTCAATGTATTTGTTTGGAGGGCGGTTGGGGGGTGGAAATCATAGATACAGCGTTCCTGAAGGAAGCACCCTATTCCAGCTTGGCATCCCTGAACCTCTGTCCACATTTGCTTCCAGATCTTGGAAGGAGACCAAGCCATCCTGCAGAGAATAAAGAAGGCTGTGCGGGCAATCCATAGCTCCGGCCTTGGTAAGTGAGCCTCCTGGGTGCCCCGCCTGGTCAGGAAGCCCCTCTCCCAGCCCCAGCCTGGAGCTAACTCCAAGCTCCCGTCTGTACCTCCACAGGCCATGTGGAGAATGAAGAGCAGTACCGAGAGGCCGTGGAATCCTTAGGCAACAGCCACCTGTCCCAGAACAGCCATGAGCTGTCCACAGGCTTCCTAAACTTGGCCGTGTTCACCCGCGAGGTTGCTGCGCTCTTCAAGAACCTGGTGAGGCCCCTGTCTCTTCCTTGCCCAGACTCAGGGTAAATCTAGTGGTCTTAAGAACCTGACTGGGAAAGGGTCCGTTTCCTTCCTTCTCCCAATTTGCCCTTGATCTCTGACCTGAGTTCAGACCTGAGGTCCCTTTCCAGCCCTGACCCTTCTTTTGGATAATCCTCCTTTCTCTCTGGCTTCTTACCCAACTAACTCTTCTCTCTGTTCTCCTCCTTCTCTTCACCCAGGAGCAGAGGGGGTCTCACAGCAGGGAAGAGCCCCGTGCAAGGGAGGGTTCCCTGGAGGAGCTTTGGGATAAAGGAGAGACAGGCTCGGGGGTTCCTACCTTTATACCACTACTGCTGCCACTGCCACCACCACCGCTGCCACCGCCTCCTCCTCTCCTCACTCCCTCTTTGTCCTCTGCTTTCCCAATCCACATCTGCTTCGTACTTAAATCCCAGGACCTGTCCCTGCCTCCACAAGCGTCTCAGCCCCTGTACATGGCCCAGTGGCCTCGGGTTGCTTCCCGATGGCCTCCTTGGTGACTGCCTCCTCTCTGGTCCTTCAAGTCCTTTCCTCAAGGCCACCCTGTGACAGCAGCTCTTCCCATGTGCAGGCACAGTTCTCACTAGTTCATGTGTTCACTCATTCGATCCGGATGCACAGCTCTGTGGGGCTGGTGTGACTGTTGTCTCCACCTTACAGGCTAGGAAACTAGGACCTCAAGGTTAAGCAGCTTGCCCGAGGTCACACGGTTCGGTTTGAACCCAGGTTGTCTGGCTCCAGAGTCCAAGCATAAGCCTGGCTACACTGCCTCCCAGGAAAGCCTCTCATCTCCCTCCAGGCTCCATGGCACTGGACCAGCTCTTGTGGCTCCAGTCCTACCCAGCATCCTCCCTGGTTGGCAGGGGCCACATCATCCTTGAGAGGCAGTGTGCTCAGTGGTTAAGCACCCAACCTTGGACCTAGACTCCAGCTTGGAATCTTCACTCTGCTGCTTACTAGGTCAAGTCACTCAGTCTGCCCAAGCCCCAGGTCTCTCATCTGTGAAACTGGGATAATAATGCTGCCTACCTCACAGAGCGGTAATGAGGATTAAGCAAGTTAGTGCCTACTTTATGGTAAGCGCTCAGTAAATGTTGGCTAATATTATATTAATGGCAAAACAGCAATTACTTTTGCACCAACCTAATAAAATCTATCATTGTTATAGCTCTTGGCATAGCTGTGCCTCGTACACTGTCCTGCATGTAAAAAGCCTTTAACAGTGTTTGAGGCTGGGTGCAACATTTCAAACCTTAATCCCAGTGGTTTAGGAGCCTGAGGTGTGTGGATCGCTTGAGCCCAGAAGCTCTAGACCAGCCTGGGCAATGTAGTGAGACCCTGACTCTACAAAAGTATGAAAATTGCCGGGTGCGGTGGCTCACGCCTGTAATCCCAGCACTTTGGGAGGCCAAGGTGGGCGGATCACTTGAGGTCAGAGATTCGAGACCAGCCTGGCCAACATGGTGAAACTGTCTTTGCGAAAAAATACAAAAATTAGTTGGGTGTGGTATCAGGTGCCTGTAATCCCAGCTACTCAGGAGGCTGAGGCAGGAGAATCACTTGAACCCGGGAGGCGGAGGTGGCAGTGAGCTGAGATCATGCCACTGCACTCCAGCCTGGGTGACAGAGCGAGATTCCATCTCAAAAAAAAAAAAAAAAAAATGCCAGGTGTGGGGGCGTATGCCTGTGGTCCCAGCTACTCGGGATGCTGAAGTAGGAAGATCAGTTTAGCCTGGGGGAAGTTGAGGCTGTAGTGAGTGTGATCACACCACTGTGCTCCAGCCTGGGTGACAAAGCAAGACCCTGTCTCAAAAAAAAAAATAGTGTTTGAGTTCAATTGAATTAGTGTCCTTCTTTGTCTTCACCTCTTCTCTCCCTGTTTCAGTCAAACTAGTGTTTCCTGGGGGTCTGCTGTCTAGTGGACATTGTACCAGGGGTTGGTGACACAGGAAAGTGTCAGACTGCCTCAGAGAGCCACAGTCTAGTGGGGGAGAGAAAAACTAGGGTGTGGACTAGTGTCAAGAAATACCAGCAGCATGGCACAAACTCAAGGACCCAGCAGCTGGTGTCAGAGGCCTAGTGCTGCCATGGTTCAGAAAAGGGGAGATCAGCATAGACCAGGCGGGAGGAGTAGCCAGGAGAGACTTCCTGGAGGAGGAGAGACCCAAGCTGTACCTTGGAAGCTGGTTGAAATATTAGGCCTCTTTAGGTTGCGAAATCACAGAAACCCAACTCAAACTAGGTTAAATTTTTAAAAGGGAATTCATTAGCCCCTGTAATGAGAAGTCCAGGGGCGCAGCTGGCTTAGGCTCTATCCTTTCCTCTTAAGGTAGTTTCTCTGTCTCTGCTCAGTGGACAGGATAGCCCAGCAGGCCCAGATGCCCATCTTACCAAAATAAAGATGGTCTTTCTCCCACAACTTAGGCAGAAAAATCCCAGCGAGGATTGTGATTGGCTGGCTTGGGTGCGTGCCTGTTCCCTATCCAGTCCCTCTATCCTGGGGCTGGGGTGCCCTGCTCAGATCTGACTTCTGCGTTTACCCCATCTGACCACAGAGGAGGAGTTCCCCACAGGAAAGGGGGTTCTATGACCATTAATAGGGGAGGCTCTGAAGCGTTAGCCAGCCCAGAACAACAGACGTGCACTACAGGTCAACTTGAGAGAGTCAGAGAGGAGAAGGGAGGCTGCTCCTGGCGAGGAACAGGGGAGAGATTGACTGTGGGATGCTGCTGGAGCAGTGCAGCGATGAGGCTGGAGCCATCAGGGAAGGGGCTCACTCTGACACACCTCGGCCTCCCCTCCTGCCCCCTTTCACACAGGAAGCCTGGCGGGCAGCAGGTCAGCCATCCTAAGCAGACCCCAGAGCTGGATCCTCTAGTCCCCCCCCGCAGGCTCAGCACTCCTGCCATGACGGTCCCCCTTACTTGGCTGTCATCTCTTTGATAACATCTTTTCCTCTCCCCTACTTCCCTTCCCCGCTGCTCTCTTTGCCAAGTGATGCTTCACTGTACACCGAATCCCTAGGGGCTGGATGCCGGTCACCTGAGGCGGGAATGAGCGTCTCTGTTTTTTCCAGATTCAGAACTTGAACAACATTGTCTCTTTCCCCCTGGACAGTCTGATGAAGGGGCAGCTGAGGGACGGTCGACAGGTGAGTCTCCATGCTGGGAGTGGTGGTGGGACAGAGTAAAAGAGGGGTGGGCAGGAGACTGTTGGGGGGCAGGGCTGGACTGAGGGTGGAGGCCAGGTGAAGGGGCTGTCTTAGCGGGAGTGATGAGCCTGGGGAGGTCTGGAGGACCTGGCTCGGGTCAGCCTAGGATGGCTGACCTGCTGTCTGCCAGGCCCCTTGTGTGAAACATGTCATGTAAATCTTACAACCATCCTATGAGGTAGGCTTTGTGGGTACACTCATCCCCATTTTGCAGTTGAAATTCGAGGCCAAGGGAGTTAGGTAACCTGCTGATGGTTTACATAACTAGGAAGTAGAGAGCCCATGTGGGAATCCAGGGATCCTGAATCCCATACTCGAGCTGCTTTCTCTGTGCCTGGCAGCCCTTGGCTGGATGCAGAGTGGAGCTCAAAGAAGGTGACAGAATAATCTCTCTGGGCAATCTGCCCCAGACGGCCCAGGGGAGGAGCCGTGCTCCCCCAAGAGGGTTCCCTCCCTGCCCTAGGCTGCCAGCGTGGCACCAGCCTGCTAACCACACAAACCAGACAGGCAGCTTTTTCACCTTGGGAGTCTCGGGGTTGTTCAGAAGGGTGTGAGCAGCCTGGCTGGATGAGGCTTAGGCAAGCTAGGCAGGGGGTAGTCAGGTCTCCCTGGTTTGCTGTATGGCCTGGGGTAGACTTCTCAACCTCTCTGTGCATGTTCCTTGACCTGTACCCTTGCTCTAAGAGGATGATCTAGCACCAGGCAGGAGAAAATGCTGGGCTAAAGTTAGGCAGGGGGAATTTGGCCTTCATCCTCCCATCCTCATGGTCATGACTGATCTCTCTTCTGAGCAAGAGGACTCAGGGTAGAGCCCAAAGATCTCTTCACACCCCAAGCCATGGCCCACCAAACCTGACTGATTCTTGGCATCTCTGGGGAGGAGAAGGTCTGCTGGGAGGAGGGCCTTAGCTCTGAGAAATGGGGTCAGCTGAGCCTGTTTGGTGGGGGCAGGTTTGCAGCAGGACTGTGGGGGCAGGGGCTGGTTAGAGAAGGGCTCTGAGCAGCTCAGGGGAGCACACTAGCAGGTCCTCCTACAGGCAGCAGAGCATACTGTTTATTCCAGTGCTCCAGCTTCCCTCTGGGCAAATTGTCCTTTTTTAACCCACAGGATTCCAAAAAACAGCTGGAGAAGGCATGGAAGGACTATGAAGCCAAAATGTAAGTGGCCACAGCCAGGGTCGTTTGTCTGGGAGAGTAGCACTTAGGCTGGATAGGGAAGAACCTAAATGCTGCCGAGACATGTCATCCAGAATTGGGTGACATCTGGCTCTGTAGAGGCATTTACAGCAGATTGTTTATACCCAGACCTGACTGGATTCTGGGGACTGGGCCACGAGACCACCAAAGGAGCTATTGTGAAGGGACCTCAGGATGCTGCTCTCAGAGTCCCATCTGCTCAGTGGTGCCAGACATGGGCAGGGATGGGAAGGAGCTAGCACTGACCAAACACCTCCGCGTGCTGGCCATTTAATCTTCACAGTCACCCTGTCATGTGTGAGAGAGGTATTAGTATCACAATTACCACAGGAGGACTCAGAGAGGTTAAGTCACTTGCCCAAGGCCCCACAGCTTGGCAGAGGCAGAACTGGGGTTTATGCCCCTTGCTCCTCGTTCCTCAGTGTCAGTTGGTATATCTAGAGAAGGAAATGGCTTTCTGTGTCCTGTGCACACCACACGATACTCCAGATCTCTCACCAGCTACTGGGACATCATGGGGAAAGAAGGAGCCTCAGTCAACCAGTGGCCAATTCCTCCTGGGCAGAGACTCCTTGGGCTCTGTCTTATGAGGAGTCTGTCCAGATCCCAGCCTTTGCCCTCTGCCCAGCCAGGCCCATACTGTAGAGCATTGTTTGTGCTTTTTTGTAAAATTTTGTTTTCTCTTGCATTTTGCCAAAGCAATTTATGCTTATTATGAATAATTTTGAAAATATGGAGAAGTAAAAGAAGAAAAAAAATTAATCATCCTTAGCAGAGGCTTAGGGTTATGGCAGGCGGATAATACTCTCTGTTGTTTGAATTTTTTTTTTTACAAGGTCTGGGTAACATTGCAGTTTTCATCATTAAAAAAAAAAGGTTGGATGGGGAGAAACTACCCAAAAATAGGAGAAAAATTCTTAATTTTCAAGCCTAAAATATTAACATTTTAACATTTATTTTTCTATGTATGAAGAAATGTTTTTATAAAAATGAGATCATAACAACATACTGTTTTGTAATCTGCTTTTTTCATTCAAAAAATACATTGTGGCCATCTTTGTACACCATTACATATTCTTCCACATCAATCAAACGGGTGTGCCAAAACCTGCATAAGCCATTATGTATTTAATCTGTTCCTGTCATTGGAGAAGCATCCTTGGATTTAAATATTTGTCCCTACTCATAATTATTTTTGCAGGATCAATTTCAAGAAGTAGATCCTGGAGCTTTTTATTGTTCCCTCAGCTCCCAGAGCCATGGCACCGCTCCAAGTCTGAGGCAAGGTCACATCTTGTCCCTGCACAAGCATCTCCAGCCCCAGCTGTGGGCATAGATCCTGTGATGAAGGGTGTAGACACTGTGTGGCCATCCCTGTGGGGCCCTATCCCTGCCTGTGATGGGGCACGGCCATCTGCTCTCACTGGAGGCCCAGGGACGGGTAGTGAGGGCACAGGCTGACCTTGTCTTCATGATTTGCTGTGGGGCCACATGGCCCTCTTCTTCCTGAGTTACCTTAACTAAGCCGTTAGACTTTCGGGGATCGTCTACCAAATAGAAATAATAAGCTCTACTCTGCTGACCTTCCCAAAGCAGGTCTGCTTTTCCTAGGTTTCTATATTGAGCCTTCCTGTAGCATTTCATTTACAGGCCAGACTCCATTTAGTTGATGGGAAAGGGGGCTTGGCTGAGGTTATTCGGTGAGTTATCGATAGGACCTGGACTAGAACCCAGGGCTTCTGAGTCTAGTGCTATTTCTGCCATGTGGTCTCCTGGCTCCCACCATGGAGCCACATAGTTTGAGCTAATGTCTTGGCACGGGTGACTGTACACTCCTTTTCATACGGGCTCCAGGTGTAGCCAGATATGCGTGAGCCGTAAGTTCCTATGTAATTTCACCACATTCCTACCAAACAAGTCTGAGCCCCAGCTGGAAGGGCCCAGGGCCCTGATAGCATCTGTCAAATACCACTGGGAGCTTCACCCCTGGCTGTTCATATAGGAGGAGGATTACCTCTCCACGTGGGGCTGCTGAGAAAGGCATCCCGGGCCCTGTACAGAGGCCAAATTTATCTAGGCAGTTCCATGTACAGGTCTGTTTCCTCATCTGTACAATAGGGACAGTAATACCTTTCAGGGTCAATGCGGCGATGAATAAGCACGGTGCATATAAAGCACTCAGCACTTCAGTTCAGCAAGTATTTATTGACCACCTATATGAGCCAGAACTAGGACCAGAATAACACAGGAAGAGATTGACAGGCAGAAACCCACACATCTGCTGGTAGCATTTACCCTAGCCAGCTTTTAATCTTGTGCAAGCCATTTTCCTTCTCTGGATCTCAGCTTCATCATCTGTAAAATGGTCCCTGTTCTGAGAGAGACTGTTATCTCTCAGAAAATAAACAGTGTGACTGTCAGCAGCTCGCAGGAATGAGGCAGGGAAGGAGGAATGGAACAAACCTGAGTCACAGTGTTGGTTGCTTGGGCTGCCCCTAAGGCTTAGGCACCAGCCAGTCCTGGGTTCAACTCCTGGCCCCACCACTTAACAGCTGTGTGACTTGGACAAATGACTTATCTCAGCCATAGGCTCCTCTTCTATAAAATGGGATAATGATCCTGCCTTATGGGGCTATAATTTTAACATATGAAGGGCCTAGCAGAGTGCCTGGGCCTAAAAATTATAACTAGGAGCCTGTAATCCTAGCACTTTGGGAGGCCAAGACAGGAGGATCACTTGGGCTCAGGAGTTCGAAACCAGCCTGGGCAACATAGTGAGACCTTGCCTCTATTTAAAAAATTGATAATAATAATACATATATAATAAATATAATACATATATTTAGAAGCCACACATGGTGGCTAATGACTGTAATCTCAGCTACTTGGGAGGCTGAGGCAGGAGGATTGCTTAAGGCCAGGAAATTTGAGACCAGCTTGGGAGACAGAGCTAGACCTTGTCTCTAAAAAAGAATAATAATAATAATTAGTAATAATAGCAGCTTCTACTTTAGAGTTTCCTTTGTGCCAGGCAGTGGAGTAAGGTCTTTGCATCTATTACCAGATTTATTCTCCCTGGCAGGGAAAGCTGCTATTGTTATTCCCAATTTATAGGTAAGTAGTGAGGAATCCCTGCCACCTAAGCGTGGCTCAAGGTTTCAAGGTTGGTGGGTGTGTGGTATTTAAATACTTTCCTGCCTGCACCAGGAGTACCTGTACCCATCCCATGAATAACACTGGACTGTTGCTGTAGTCTCCTTCTGCAATGATCTCGGTCTTAGTAACTAGCATTTAAGTACTTTCACCCACTATTTCATTTCATTCCTTCTATTGCAATTCCACTCATAAGACAGAAAAATGTTTCTAACATTTGAAATGTTTTAGAAATGTTTTAAAAATGTTGGTGATCCTTTGAGGATAGGGAAGGAATGGGACTTGTTATTTTATAGGGGAAGAAAAGCACTCCCCAGCTATTAGGTCATCTCAGAATGACTATGTCAGACTTTGTAGGGAAAATCTCTATGAATTATCTTAGCTGAGGCTGAGGGACAGAACTGTGATAATTGACAAAGCCATTTTGTCACAGCTGTGTACATTTTGTCAAAGCTGAAGTACATTGACAAAGTTGTGTACTTCACGGCTTATCTACACCTTGAGTTAAGTAGCATCTTTTAATCTCTACTAGCATTCAAAAAATAAAAGAAAGAAAGAAGAAAGTACCATATGCTGAAAAAAATTATCTAAAAGGGATCACCAGTATTTACTACTCTGTCATCATTGCCATCACTTGAATCATCATAATCCTACCATTCATTGAGGGCTTGCCATATGCCAGGAACTGTACTGTTTCCTATGCATTATATTATCCAAGGACTAGGTGTCATTACAGTGGTTCCCCCTTATCCTTGGGGGATACGTTCCGAGACCCCCAGTGGATGCTTGAAACTGAAGATGATACTGAACCTTACATTAGGTTGGTGCAAAAGTAATTCCGGCAGTTTTTGGCATTAAAATGTAATCTGTGCTTTTTCCTATATATACGTACCTATGATAAAAATTAAGCACAGTAAGAGATGAACAATAATAGTAATAAAACAGAACATAGTAGCATCACTACTCTTGCACTCTGGGGCCATTATGAAGTAAACTAAGGGTTACTTGAACACAAGCACTGCAATAGTAAAACAGCTAATCTGATAACCAAGAAGGCTACTGAATGACTAATGGCAGGTGGTATAGACCAGGGGTCCTCAACCCCTGGGCCATGGACTGGTACAGGTCCAAGGCCTGTTAGGAACCTGGACTGAACAGCAGGAGGTGAGCGTTGGCAGGCGAGCGAGATTACCGCCTGAGTTCCGCCTCCTGTCAGATCAGCATGGCATTAGATTTTCATAGAAGCACGAACCCTATTGTGAGCTTCACATGCCAGGGATCTAGGTTGCATGCTCCTTATGAGAATCTAAGCCTGATGATCTGAGCTGGAACAGTTCCATCCCAAAACCACCCTCCCCCACCCTGCTATCCGTGGAAATATTGTCTTCCATGAAACCAGTCCCTGGTGCCAAGATGTTGGAGACTGCTGGATAGACAGTGTAAATACACTGAACAAAAGGATGATTGATGTTCCAGGCAGGATGGAGCAGAAGGATGCAGGATTTCACATGCCACTCATAATGATGCATAATTTAAAACTTACAAATTGGGCTGGGCATGGTGGCTCATGCCTGTAATTCCAGCACTTTGGGAGGCCGAGGCAGGCAGATCACCTGAGGTCAGGAGTTCGAGACCAGCCTGAAACACATTGTGAAACCCCGGCTCTACTAAAAATACGAAAATTAGCTGGGTGTGGTTGTGGGCGCCTGTAATCCCAGCTACTTGGGAGGCTGAGGCAGGAGAATCGCTTGAACCTGGGAGGCAGAGGTTGCAGTGAGCTGAGATGGCGCCATGGCACTCTAGCCTGGGTGACAAGCAAAACTCCATCTCAAAAAAAAAAAAAAAAAGACAAAAAAACTTATGAATTGTTTATTTCTGGAATTTTCCATTTAATATTTTTGGACAGGGGTTGACCATGAATAACTGAAACCACAGAAAGCAAAACTACAGAGAAGGGGGGACTACAGTATTATTCTCATTTTCCAAATGGGGAAACAAGCTCAGAAAGTTTTATAAAGGTTAAGTAAGTGAAGGAGCTGCCATTCAAATCCAGAATCTACATTTCTAACCACTGTACTGTATTGTGGTTTGCTTTTTGTCCATTTACTCTGGAGCAGATATATTTCCATGTCAGTACAGTCATCCCTCATTATCCATGGGGGATTGGTTCCAGGACCCCCGCAGATACCAAAATCTGAGGATGCTAAAGCCCCTTAGTCAGCTGCCTATATCCTCAGGCTTTACACCCACAGATATGGAGGGCCAATCACATGTACAGATATTCCTTCTTCTTTTTTTTTTTTCTTGAGACAGAGTCTACTCTGTTGCCCAGGCTGGGGTGCAGTGGTGCAATCATGGCTCACTGCAGCCTTGAACTCCTGGGCTCAAGTGATCCTCCTACCTCAGCCTCCCATGTCGCTGGGACTTACAGGACCATGCTACCATGCCTGGATAATGGTTTAAAATTTTGTTTTAAAGTAGAAACGGGGTCTTGCTATGTTGCCTAGGCTGGTCTTGAACTCCTGGCCTCAAATGATCCTCCCACCTCAGCCTCCCAAAGCACTTGGATTACAGGCATGAGCCACTGCACCTGGCCAATCTTCATTCTAACAGCTGCATGATATTTCTATATATCGCCATACTATTATTTGTCTAACTACTTCCTACTGATGGACATTTAGCTTATTTTCCATTTTTGACTATTGAAAGATATGGTAACAGTGTACACTGGGAGACTTCCCCTACGCCAGCCCACCTGATGTCACTTGGTCTCCCTCATTCCTTTTTTTTTTTGGAGAGACAGGGTCTTGCTCTGTCACCCAGGCTGGAGTGCAGTGGCACAATCACAGCTCACTGCAGCCTTGACTTCTTGGGCTCAAGGGATCCTCCTACCTCAACCTTTTGAGTAGCTGGGACTATAGGCACACACCACCATGCCTGGATCATTTTTAAATTTTTCTGTAGAGACAGGGTTTCACCATGATGCCCGAGCTGGTTTCGAACTTCTGGGCTCAAGCAATCCTCTCACCTTGGCCTCACAAAGTGCTGGGATTACAAGCATAAGCTTCCACGCCCAGCCCTCCCTAATTCCATAGCAAGCTGCCAGGCACTGCTGCTGAGATGCTGCAGGCCCAGCCATCACCTCCCCTCTCTGCTGCTTTTTTTCAGATTCACAAAGAAGTCTGTCCTGACCCTCAGGCCTGGTTCACAGGATCAGTTCCTACCCTACTTCTACCACTCTTTACAAACTCTTGCTTGGGGTATCAGAAAGCTTAAGGAAATAAAAAATAACCCCCTCTTTAAAATTAAAAAAAAAAAAAAAAGCCTACAGAGCCTGCAATGTCTGGAGACATTTCTGGTTGTCACAGCTGGGGGGATGCTACTGGCAGCTAGTGGGTGGAGGTCAGGGAGGCTGCTAAACATACAAACCACCAGGCAGCCCCCCATAACAAAGAATCATCTGGCCAAAAATGTTATCAGTTCCATGGTTGAGAAACTGCTCTACAGGTCCCCAGGGACAGATTCTGTATATGAACACTATCCCAGAGGTCTTACCTACTCAGGAGGGCCCAGAACTTTAGAGTCAGAAGGGACCTGAGAACTTACCGTAGACCATTGCTTCCTCCATTTACAGATGGGAAAACAGAGGCCTTGAGGGGCCTACAGTAAAAGCTGCCATGTGTCTTCTATGTGCTGAGTCTTTTCCATGCTGTGCCTCATCTGGGTACAGATAAGAATCTCCGTTTTCCAGATGAGGAGACCAAGGCTCAGAGAGGGGAATAAATGCAGCCAGCAAGCAGCAGAGTTTGTATTAATCCCACTCTGTCTTTGTCTTCTCTGCTCAGGGCTGGCCCCCACTTGAGAGCAGAACTATTAAGCAAGCCCTTTCCTTTACATGGGATTTGGAGTCACATGCACCCAGCCTGAGATGTGGAAATACTCTCCTGGCTGTGAGTGGGTAGTCTGCTGGGCGTGGGATTTCCAGGAAACCATTTACACACAGATCCACCCATCCCCAAAGAGGGAAAACAGCCAACCTCTGAGGGGGAAGGCCCCAGTTACTCTTAGCTACAAGGATGGGAAGCGCTTTCTGTCTCCACTTAAAAAGAGAAGAGCACGGTGGGGCGTGGTGGCTCATGCCTGTAATTTCAGCACTTTCAGAGGCTGAGGTGGACAGATCACTTGAGGCCCGAGTTCAAAGACCAGCCTGGCCAACATGGTGAAACTCCGTCTCTACTAAAAATACAAAAGTTAGCTGGGTGTTGGCCAGGCACGGTGGCTCATGCCTGTAATCCCAGCACTTTGGGAGGCTGAGGTGGGTGGATCACCTGAGGTCAGGAGATCAAGACCATCCTGGCTAACACGGTGAAACCCCATCTCTACTAAAAATACAAAAAAATTAGCCAGGCATGGTGACACCCACCTGTACTCCCACCTACTCGGGAGGCTGAGGCAGGAGAATCGCTTGAACCCAGGAGGCCGAGGTTGCAGTGAGCCAAGATCATGCCGTTGCAGTGAGCCAAGATCGTACCACTGCACTCCAGCCTGGGCAACAGAGCGAGACTCCGTCTGAAAAAAAAAAAAAAAGATTAGCTGGGCATGGAGGTGGGCACCTGTAATCCCAGCTACTCAGGAGGCTGAGGCATGAGAATGGCTTGAACCTGGGAGGTGGAGGTTGCAGTGAGCTGAGATCGCACCACTGCACTAAAAAAAAGAAAAAGAAAGAAAAAGAAAATAAAAGAACAAAGGTTTTCTGAGCTTTAAGTATGAAGCTCCATGGGCTCAGAAGAATGAAAGCACTTTGAAATAACTCAGAAACAGAAAGTCAAACACTGCATGTTCTTTCTCCCTTATAAGTAGGGGGGTAAGCAATGGGTACATGTGGACAGACAGAGCAGAATAGTAGACATTGGAGACTTCAAAAGGTGGGAGGATAGGTGAGAGATGAAAAATTACCTATTGGGTACCATGTACACTATTCGGGTGATGGGTACTCTAAAAGCCCAGGCTTCACCACTGCACAGTATATCCACGAAACAAAACTGCACTTGTACCCCCTGAATCTATAAAATTAATACAAATAAAAAAGATTGAAGGCACCTGTGTTCTTAAATCCTTTCCAGGAAAATCAGAACTGTTTGCCCCAAATCTCACTTGGCCCTTGTTTGAGTCCTTCATCCCCCTGAATAAACACCTTCAAATCCTTCCCATTACTCTTGGGATAAAGACCAAGAATATATTAACATGGTGTGAATTAGACCCTGCATGGTCTGGCACCTCCTTACCTTAGCTGGCACCAGCCCTCTCCATCTTGGCACTCGCTCCTGCCTTGGGGCCATCACATGGTCCATCCCTCTTGCCCAGCAGTAGCTTCCTCCAAGCTTCTCAGGCTTCAGATCCCAGCTCAGACATCACTTCCCAACTAGCCCCAACGAGGTTGGATCCCCATTTTCTCTCCCATAGTTCTCTGCGTGGCTGTGATTTGATTCATGTCTTTCTCCCCCACCACTCTGTGGATTCCCTAAACTGTCTTGTTCATTGTACCCAGCCCCACCACACAGCTGGCACAGGAGGGCCTCCTGCACCATGTGGCCCCTTTGCTCATGCATCCTTGGCAGAAGAGGATATAGGGGCTGGTGAGACTTGTTCAGGCTTCTCTTTCCTTGGGGTCTAGGGCCAAGCTGGAGAAGGAGCGCGATCGGGCCAGGGTGACAGGAGGGATCCCTGGGGAGGTGGCCCAGGACATGCAGAGAGAGCGGCGCATCTTCCAGCTGCACATGTGTGAGGTAAGGGGTGCTCTGGATGAGGGAGGGGGGGCGTGGGATGTGTCTTCCTGTCTGCCTCTCCAGGGGACCAGTCACAGCCTCAGCTCAGGTCCTGGCCACATGGCCCTGTGGGATGTCACCAAGGCCCAGTCGCAGCCAGGAGGATTAGCCTGGGATGGGGACTGCAGCCCCTCGTTCCCAGGATTCTGCTTCAGCTCACATCACGTATCTTGCCCTGCCCTCCTCCTAGTATCTGCTCAAAGCCGGGGAGAGCCAGATGAAGCAAGGTCCTGACTTCCTTCAGAGCCTCATCAAGTTCTTCCACGCCCAGCACAAGTAGGTATCTTCCCGCGTCCCTGCCACTAACCCTTCCAGTGTCACAGAACAAGGCCCCTCTCAAGGTGTGATAGACCTGAGAGTCTCTTTGGAGGCCTGCATCTTTTTGGCAGAACTTTCATAGTTCCTCATTGAGTGCTCACCGGGTGTCAGGCATGAGTACTTTACAAACATCAATTCGCTCAATTCCCCAACACTTCTGGGAGCAGGTACTCTATTATCCCCATT
This sequence comes from Homo sapiens, assembly GCF_000001405.40. NCBI lineage: Eukaryota > Metazoa > Chordata > Mammalia > Primates > Hominidae > Homo > Homo sapiens. Next base: position 211,936 of record NW_014040926.1, on the reverse strand, counting down.
TTATAGATGAGAAAACTGAGGCTTATTTTCCAAGATTACATAGCTAGTAAGTGGGATTTGAACCTAGTCAAGAGAGACTCTTGTCTATGGAGTGTCTGTTCTTGACCGTCAGACTACAATTCCCTGAGGTGCCCTGTGATCCTTACGGCAGCTTCTCCCACACTTCTGGCTTCATCTCTCATTTCCATCTTTATCTGGACCCTTGTTTGGCCTCTGACACCTCTTAGCTTTTTCCAAGATGGCTGGAAGGCTGCCCAGAGCCTGTTCCCCTTCATCGAGAAGCTGGCGGCCTCAGTACATGCAGTAAGTTGGGTCTCACCCTTGGGCACGTGATCAAGCCCCCTGTCCTTCCAGGAAAATCTGTGGGTGTGGAAGAGCTGGCTTCTGCCCACAGAGTGAGGCTACTGCTCTGCTCTTCTGGGTCTGGGCTCTGTGCCTGACATATTTGTTGGCTGGTGATGGGATCCCATCCTCTGTCCCATAGCTCCATCAGGCCCAGGAGGACGAGCTACAGAAGCTGACCCAGCTCCGGGACTCCCTCCGAGGGACACTGCAGCTTGAGAGCAGAGAGGTCAGCCCCTGAACTATCCCAAAAGGAATGCCCTCCCCCAAGGCCCACCGTGGAGGGAGGGAGAGAAGGAAGACCCACAGGGTCCCCTGGAGAAGTCTCCCTGAGTGAGCCCCCGCAGAATGGGGCTCTTCCCACTGAGATGCCCTGAGGTCTCCTTTGCATGTCCGAGGGACAGGAACACCTGAGCCGGAAGAACTCAGGATGTGGCTATAGCATCCACCAGCACCAAGGCAACAAGCAGTTTGGGACGGAGAAAGTGGGCTTTCTATACAAGAAAAGTGACGGGTAAGTGATTCAGAGCTTACATAATTTGCCCAATGTCACACTGCAAGTAAATGACAGGGTTGGGGAAGCTGCCCAAAGGAACTGTTCTAATCATTTGTGTAGACACCGAGGGTTGCAATGTAAAATCCTCAATTCCTGGGTTGTCCAGGACACCTGGGCATGTGAACTTCTGCTAAAGGTGACTGGTTATTTTAAGTTAAAGAAGAAGAATAGCAGTAGCTAACACTTTTTTTTTTTTTTTTTTTTGAGATAGAGTCTCACTCTGTCGCCCAGGCTGGAGTGCAGTGCCATGATCTCGGCTCACTGTAAGCTCCGCCTTCCGGGTCATGTCATTCTCCTGCCTCAGCCTCCCGAGTAGCTGGGACTACAGGCACTCGCCACCACACTCGGCTAATTTTTTTGTATTTTTAGTAGAGACGGGGTTTCACTATGTTAGCCAGGATGGTCTCGATCTCCTGACCTTGTGATCCGCCCGCCTCAGCCTCCCAAAGTGCTGGGATTACAGGCATGAGCCACCGCGCCCGGCTGGCAGTAGCTAACACTTATTGCAACACTTACTATGCCCTCATTCTTTTTTTTTTTTTTTTTTTTTTTTTTTTTTGAGATGGAGTCTCCCTCCGTCACCCAGGCTGGAGTGCAGTGACGTGATCTCAGCTCACTGCAACCTCCGCCTCCTGGGTTCAAGCGATTCTCCTGCCTCAGCCTCCCGAGTAGCTGGGACTACAGGTGCCCGCCACTACGCCCAGCTAATTTTTTGTATTTTTAGTAGAGACGGGGTTTCACCGTGTTAGCCAGGATGGTCTCAATCTTCTGACCTTGTGATCTGCCAGCCTCAGCCTCCCAAAGTGCTGGGATTACAGGCGTGAGCCACTGCGCCCAGCCTATGCCCTAATTAATCTCTGCAATATACTGAATATGCCTAGAAATGAAAGTATTGGCTGTGCCTTGCTTCCTAGTGTAAAAAAAAAAAAAAAAATCAGTCTGTGGGCCAGGTGCAGTGGCTCACACCTGTAATCCCAGCACTTTGGGAGGCCAAGGCAGGCAGATCACTTGAGGCCAGGAGTTCAAGACCAGCCCAGCCAACATAGTGAAACCCCATCTCTACTAAAAATACAAAAAATTAGCTGGGTATGGTGGCGTGAGCCTGTAGTCCCAGCTGCTTGGGAGGCTGAGGCATGAGAATTGCTTGAACCTGGGAGGCAGGGATTGCAATGAGCCGAGATCGTGCCACTGTATTCCAGCCTGGGTGACAGAGAAAGATCCTGTCTCAAAACAAAACAAAACAAAAAAACAAAACTGCTGTGAAATGCAAAGGCCCTTGTGGGATATATTCATGTTTCTACCTACCAATCAGTTTAATCGGAGAAGAATAACTTTGAAGAAGAAACCAATGAATATTTACCTGTTACAGGAGAAGTGTTACGGAGTTTTGGATCATGGACTTGCTAATTTTATTTTGGGGATATTAATATTGATCTTGCTTAGTTGAACCACAATTTATTTGTTGTTGTCAAGAGCCTGTGCCTCTCAGACTAGGAGCTCCCTAATGATATAAGCTATGTCTCCCCCATCAGACTGGGAGCTCTCAGAGGGCCAAAGTCACATCATCCCCTTAGAATAAGGATTCCCAGGGAGTGAGGCTGTGTTTCTCCATCAGACTGGCATCTTCCTAAGAGCAGAACTGTGTCTCCTCCATCAGAAGGGAGCCCCAGAGAGTCAGGGGTCAGGGGTGGGGGTGTAGGGTTAGGAGAAGAAAGAGGTAAAGGGATGTGGCTAGAGATCATACAGGTGGGGGCAAATTTCTGTTCTCTGACACCTGCGAACTAGGTGTGAGCCTTGGGTCACTGTCCTTCTATCCCTCTGGGCTTTAGAATTCGAAGAGTCTGGCAGAAAAGGAAGTGTGGAGTCAAGTATGGCTGCCTGACCATCTCACACAGCACGGTGAGGCCTAGAGGTGGTGGGAGTCTCAGGGCACGATGGACCCTCTTCTTCTGGTGTTCTGAGCAAATAATGTCAAGCCCTCCCTCTAAGACTGGCCCCCAAACCTAGGTCCAGGGAGCTGGAGACCCGTTTGGGAGGACAGATGGGACCTGAAGGCCCCAATCTAGTCTTAGTCTACACTTCACATCCTTGAGGTGCTGCTGGGTGAGGAGAAACACAAATGGAACAGGATGATTATGCCCATTTAACAGAGTGGGAAATGGAGGCCTAAAGAATGTGGAGGGCCAGAGGTAATGCATACATCCTCCGCCCCTAAATTCCCACAGATAAACCGGCCCCCGGTGAAGCTGACCCTGCTGACGTGCCAAGTGAGGCCAAACCCTGAGGAGAAAAAGTGCTTCGACCTGGTGACCCGTGAGTGGTCCCTGTGCCTCTCCCCCACCCACAGCTGCTCAGGGCTTCTCTAAGACACCTGTCAGCTCCCGGGGGGCTTCAGTGAGGGGTCTGTGTCCAGTTCCACACATGGTGTCGAATTGCTGCTACTGCAGACATAAGAATCCTTAGGTCTAGGATACCCACATCACATTAAATGTCAAAATGCACCCACTTTACATAATAAATGTGGCTATTTATACAGAGCATATTTGAGTGGATTTGGGTCATCTGGGTTTTGAAATTATTTCTTTTTTTAAAATTTTACCTTTTTTTCCCAAATACCCAGACTTGAAGGAGATGAAATTATTGTTTCTTTACATTTTCTACTTTTCGTTCTTCAGAGCCTTTGGTGCAGGCTTTGTGTGAGAGCAGACACAGGCTGAGAAAGACCTAGATCTTGTCCTCAGGAAACTCTCTGGCAGGGGTGTGGGGTGGGTACCCAGGACTGTAAGATGAGGGGGCTGTCCAGAAGATGGGTGCAGATATAGCCCCATAGAAGATTAGGGAGCAGGAAGGCCTGCACTGCTGTGGGGAATCAGGAAAGGCTCCTGGAGGAGACAGTATTTGAGTTTAGCCTTGAAGGACATGTAGAATGAAGAGTTTGTGGGGTGGGGGCTTTTGAGGAGACAGGATTAGCATGATGAAAGGCATGGAAGCAGGAGAGTGGGTCTGGCCGGTTTGGCCAGAGTGGAGGGTTCATGTAGCAGAGTGAGAGATGAGGCCTGGAAATCCCTCTTAAAAGTTTGGACCTTATTTCCTGGCAATAGAGAGCCATGGGAGATCTTGGGGCAGGGCAGTGGTGTAATTAGAGCAGAGCCTTGGGCACAACAGTTGGGAGCTGGTACAGGCTAGGGGAAAGGGGAAATGGGAAGCAGGGAGACCAGACAGGAGGCCTGGTCGCCCAGGAGGAGACCAGGAAGGGCCCAGTGGGGTGGTGACAGTTGGTTCAGAGGATGCCCTGCCTCAGAGCTGGGTTCTCTGGGGTTCCAAGCCCTTTGAGACCTCGTCTGAGCCTGGAACCAGGGCTTCACGCAGAGGGAGCTTTGTTGGGATCCTACTTCGGAGGCCAGTTCTGAGAAACTGCCCCTGGTGCTGGCCACTGTCATTCCACTCCCTTCCCACTCCTAGCTTGAGAGTCCGACTTGTCAGGGACACATCTCCATGTGGCCCCAGCGGCTTTGGTGGGGGCTCCCTGGGCTCCGGGAAGGCCAGCAGCATTTCTGTGGGTCAGAAGCCCCCTTCTCTCCCGACAGACAACCGGACGTACCACTTTCAGGCAGAGGACGAGCACGAGTGTGAGGCGTGAGTGCCCCCTCGGCCAGCCCGGCCAGCCTTGTGGGTGGGGGCCGGCGGCCCTATCTCTTCCCACTTGACATCCCCATCCCACCCCGTTCAATCTCCGCAGGTGGGTGTCAGTGTTGCAGAACAGCAAGGACGAAGCCCTGAGCAGCGCCTTCCTCGGGGAGCCCAGCGCTGGCCCGGGGTCCTGGGGGTCCGCCGGCCATGATGGGGAGCCGCACGACCTCACAAAGCTGCTCATCGCGGAGGTGAAGAGCAGGCCTGGGAATAGCCAGTGCTGCGACTGCGGGGCTGCAGGTCGGTCCCCGGGGCCGGGGCAGGAGGGAGGCTTAAGTGGAGGGGAGGGGCTGCACCTCCAGGCTCCAGCTGCTTTCCTCTGCAGACCCCACGTGGCTCAGCACCAACCTGGGCGTGCTCACCTGCATCCAGTGCTCGGGCGTCCACCGCGAACTGGGCGTGCGCTTTTCGCGCATGCAGTCACTCACCTTGGACCTGCTGGGCCCCTCCGAGTTGTTGGTGAGGGCGGGGCGGGGCCTGGAAGGGGCCAGAAGCGGAGTTAGGGGTGTAGTTTCATCCGGGGGCGGGGCTTGCAGGTTGTGGGTGGGACCTGGCCGAGGTGGGCTGGGACAAGCCAGGTAGCGGGTGGTCAGGGGCGGGGCCTGAACCGGGAGGGCGGCCGAGGGGCGGGACTCTGGGGGCTTGGAGCTCCACCCTATGCAGGCTTAACCGCCCGGTCTTACTCCGCCCCACGTCTATTTTCCTACGACTCCAGCTGGCCTTGAACATGGGAAACACGAGCTTCAATGAGGTCATGGAGGCCCAGCTACCCTCACACGGCGGCCCTAAACCCTCAGCTGAGAGTGACATGTAAGGGGATTCTCAGAGAGAGGGGCACCCTGCCTAGGGGATTCTGCCTCCGCAGTGTCCAGGGTCGTAGAAAAGTCTTGGATCAGAAGTCTGGGGAGGCTGGGCGCAGTGGCTCACGCCTGTAATCCCAGCACTTTGGGAGGCCAAGGCGGGCGGATCACTTGAGGTCAGGAATTTGAGACCAGCCCGGCTAAGATGGCAAAACCCCGCCTGTACTCAAAATACAAGAATTAGCTGGGCGTGGTGGCACACGCCTGTAATTCCAGCTACTCAGGAGGTTGAGGCACTAGAATTGCTTGAACCCTGGAAGCAGAGGTTGTAGTGAAACGAGATTGCGCCACTGCACTCCCTCCTGGGCAATAGAGTGAGACTGTCTAAAAAAAAAGCCTGGGGAGAGGGGAGCCTCAGATCTAGACGTCTTCAGGACATGGTTCTGGAGAAAAAGAGAGCTGTATCTCCTGTGGGAGGGCCCCAGGGATCAGCTGGGCAGACACGGTCCATGCTCTGAGATCCTGTGGTTGTTTTTGGTAGGGGCACCCGCAGGGACTACATTATGGCCAAGTATGTGGAGCATAGGTTTGCACGCCGGTGCACACCTGAGCCTCAGCGACTCTGGACAGCCATTTGCAACAGGGACCTCCTGTCGGTACTGGAGGCCTTTGCCAATGGGCAGGACTTTGGACAGCCGCTGCCAGGGCCTGATGCACAGGTGAGAACCCCTCCAAGGGCCACTTATAACCCACCTGTCTAACATATTCCCCAGTTCTTCTCCAGGACCAGCTGTTACTCCCCTCCACCCCACCTCTGACATCTGCTCAGATCTCACCCATCAGAGTGGTAAGTGGGAAAGAGCACAGCTTCAGTCAGGCAGACCTGGGTGGGAATCCTGGCTCTGTTTTTTCCTAGCTGTGTGATCTAGGGCAGGTTACTTCTCTGAGTCTCATTTCCTCATCTATAAAAGGGGTTAATAATAGCACCCACGGTGATGAAGTGAGAAGTCATGTATATAAAGGGCTTAGTGTACAATGGGCATGCAATAAACGTTAATATCTTTTTCTTTCACCTAAATAGCCCTGAAATATAAGGGCATGTCAGTTTAGAGCCAGGAAGGCCACATTGCTTTGGCTATTCCAAGAACAAACACATGAGCATGGAGAAAGGATATCAGAGACATTTGAAAAAGTAAATCAACAGGAGTTGCTGACTGATTCGACATCAAAAATTGGATGTTGGCTGGGTGTGGTGGCTCACGCCTGTAATCCCAACACTTTGGGAGGCCAAAGTGAAAGGATCACTTGAGCCCAGGAGTTCAGAATCAGCTTGGGCAAAATAAGGAAACCCCCATCTCTACAACAACAACTAAAATTAGCTGGGTATGGTGGCACACACCTGTGGTCCCAGCTACTCAGAAGGCTGAGGTGGGAGGGTGGCTTGAGCCCAGGAGGTTGAGGCTACAGAGAGCTGTGATTGCGCCACTGCTCTCCAGCTTGGGTGACAAAGCGAGACCCTGTCTCAGAAAAACTAAAAACGGGTATCTTTGAACTGTCTGTCTGATATCTTGGTGGGCTATCCAATGGGCAGTGCAGCACTTAGGTGAGGTAAGAATTTGGAACAGCCTGCACATGTGTGATAGTTGAAAATGTGAGGTTGCTGAGGTCTTGGTGGGGAAGTGCGATCAGGGAGAGGAGCCGAGAGCTGAGAAAGAAGTTTGGGAAACACTTGTTGGGGGCAGAGGAGGAAGAGCCGTGAATGGGAACAATGGGAGAATGGCCCTTCACCTTCCTCCCAGACATGAGGCTCTGCCCTTGCAGTCTCATCTCTCCAGGGTTCTGGCAGCTTCCTATGGGGGGATAAGGGGTTAGCAAGAGTTCAAGAGGGAAATACTGGGTTGGAGGCAGGTGCACTGGGGGGGGAATCTCAGAGGTGTGGATGTGTTTTCAGGCACCTGAAGAACTCGTCTTGCATTTGGCTGTCAAAGTCGCCAACCAGGCTTCCCTGCCTCTGGTGGATTTCATCATCCAGAACGGGTGAGAGCCTCCCTGCCTGTCTGTCTGGCTCCTCACACTCCCTCTCCTTTCCTTCCTCTTCTCCCATTCTCTTCCCTCCTTTCCCCTCCCACTTTTTCCCCTGACTTTGATCCCCTCATTGATCTGTTCCCCTTCCTTTCTCCCTGAACCCTCCTCTCCCCAGTGGTCACCTGGATGCCAAGGCTGCTGACGGGAACACGGCTCTGCACTACGCAGCACTCTACAACCAGCCCGACTGCCTCAAGCTGCTGCTGAAGGGGAGAGCTTTGGTTGGCACAGGTGGGGCTTGAATACCTCCTCCGTCAGACTCCTATTCCTGACTACCCCTTATGTGGACTTCCGATGGTCTCGGGCTCTAATCCTGGCTTGCTTCTGACCACCTCTGTGATCTTAGGGGTTTGTCATTCAGCTCTTGAATTTCAGCTTCCTCATCTGTAAAATGGGAATAATACCACTGACCTAGCAGGACTGCTAAAGAAAAAAGAAAATAATATTTCTGGGAGTACTTAGGCAAATAAATATTAGCTAGATCTGAATGATAATGATTGTAATAGCTAATATGTATTGTTTAACATATGCCTGGCAATGGGACAAGTGCTTTTTGTATGTTAATTAATTGAATCCTCACAACCACTTCATCAGGTAGTTCCAAGTATTATACTCATTTCATAAACAATTTTGTCCCAAAAGGTTATATAACTTGCCTATGGTCACATAGCCAGAAAATGGCAGAGCCAGGATTCAAACCCATACATTCTGATTCCAGAGGCCCGTCTTAATCTCTAAGCTGTAATGTTTCTTTGACTATGACCATGAACCCTGACTTTCCCCGCTCACAGTAAATGAAGCAGGCGAGACAGCTCTGGACATAGCCAGGAAGAAGCACCACAAGGAGTGTGAGGAGCTGGTGAGGACTCGGGGAGGCAAGGGGCCCCTGACTCTTTCTCTCTCCCTGCTGAGCCCCCAACCCTCTGAACCACCAAGCCTTTGTTTTTGGCAGCTGGAGCAGGCCCAGGCGGGGACCTTTGCCTTCCCTCTACATGTGGACTACTCCTGGGTAATTTCCACAGAGCCTGGCTCTGACAGTGAGGAGGATGAGGAAGAGAAGGTGGGTCCCAGCCCTGTCCCTCAGGCCTCTGGATGGCAGAAGGAAAGAGCCAGATTGGGCCTGGTGTGTGTTGGCGGGGGCGGTGAGGCGGGGGGACAGGGCTACACCGGAGGAACCAGGCTGTCCTCATCCTCAATCTTTTGCTCTGGCAGCGCTGCTTGCTGAAGCTCCCGGCCCAGGCTCACTGGGCCAGTGGGAGGCTGGACATCAGCAACAAGACCTATGAGACTGTCGCCAGCCTGGGAGCAGCCACCCCTCAGGGCGAGAGTGAGGACTGTCCCCCGCCCTTGCCAGTCAAAAACTCTTCTCGGACTTTGGTCCAAGGGTGTGCAAGACATGCCAGTGGAGGTACAGTTGGATGCCCAGATAAATGCTCACCATGCCATTCACAGAGGACCTGTATATGCTGGGGCACTGAGCTGAGTGCATATGTTAGTCCGTACTATCCTTATGATGACCTCCCAGGAAGGGGTTCTCATCTTCCCCTTACAGATAAAAGAACAGAGGTGTTAAGTCACATGTTTAAGATCCCACAGCTAATAAGTCTCTGATGTAGGATTCAAATCTCAGCCCATCTTATTCCAAATTCCTCAATGCTCCACTTAACAAGAGAGAAACGAGTTTATTGAGCATCCCCTTCATCCTGAGTCCTTTGAGGGCTACCAAGACACAGTCTAGTAGGGGAGATAAAAACTGGAATGCAATTCATTATAATACAAGGCACAATGTGATATAGAATGTAAATCCCAAAAGGACAAGGACTTTGAGTGTTTCATTGAATACTATTTGTCCAGTGCCTAGCGCAGAGCCTGGCTGTTCTCAAGAACTATTTGTCGAATGAAGGAACAGACTTGTTGTGGGAGGTTGGGGCAGTTGGAGAGGGAGCATGTCCTGCTGGGATTGGGGGTTGGTTTAAGAAGGCTTCCTGGTGAGGATAGCATATGAGTGAACCTGAGGGATGAGCAGGAGAATCCAAACTGGGACAGGGTATGAGCACAAGCAAAAAAGTGAGTCAGCATGGCCCTGGCCACCGCGAACAAAGGCTTCATCAGTTGAAGGAGAATACTGGACAGGTAGATGGGGAATGGACTATTGGCAGAGAACCAGAAGAGATCCTAGGCCAGATGTGGTGGCTCGTGCCTGTAATCTCTGCACTTTGGGAGGCCGAAGCAGGCGGATCACCCCAGGTAAGGATTTTGAGACCAGCCCAGCCAACATGGTGAAACCCCATCTCTACTAAAAATGCAAAAATTAGCCAGGTGTGGTGGCATGCACCTGTAATCCCAGCTACTCTGGAGGCTGAGGCAGGAGAATCTCTTGAACCTGGGAGGCGGAGGTTGCAATGAGCCGAGATTGCACCACTGCACTCCAGCCTGGGTGACAGAGTGAGACTCTGTCTCAAAAAAAAAAAAAAAAAAAATCCTAGAGGCCAGAGACTGCTTTGAGGTTGGGCACAGAGCAAGTGATAAAGAAAAGCTTTATCATTTCTGATGTTTCTGATTCCAGATCGTTCTGAAGTCTCCAGCCTGAGTTCAGAGGCCCCTGAGACCCCTGAGAGCCTGGGCAGTCCAGCCTCCTCCTCCAGTCTGATGAGCCCCTTGGAACCTGGGGATCCCAGCCAAGCCCCACCCAACTCTGAAGAGGGCCTCCGAGAGCCCCCAGGCACCTCCAGACCCAGCCTGACATCCGGGACCACCCCTTCGGAGATGTACCTCCCCGTCAGATTCAGGTTGGTGAGGGCCCAGCTGTGCAACCAGGGCAAATCCCCTGACTTCTCTGAGCATCCATTGATTTCCACACCTCTAAATAGTACCTGCCTAAAGACTGGGTCACACGCCATCTCTGGGCCCATCACTTATGCAGAAATGCTGAACCCTGGGACCCCTTCCCCCTTCACACACTTGCTCCCAAATCCTGCATGGAGAGCTGAGGAGGAGCCAGGGATCCTCCCTGCTGATGTTGGAGTAAAGTAGGCTTAGCCCCCTGTGTGGCTTATTCTAGAGGCTCTCAGTGGGGTCTTCACTCTGTCCCCACCTCCAACCCAGGATCCAGTCTTCTCCCTTCCATACAAACCCATTCAGTCTGGAGTTTGGGGAGAAGTAGACCTGCAGATATCCACAGAGTCTTCTGGAGGTCAGTTCCAGCCTTCTTGGGCCTGTGATGGACCTGGCCTGGGGGCCTTGTGGACTCTACCCACCCATCCTAAGCCCCCAGACTGGCTCTGTTCCTGAGCCCTTTCTCCCCACTCTGAGGGGCTCTCTGGACATGAGGGTCATGTTGGCCTTTCCCTGCCTTCCAGCTCCGAGAGCACTCGCTCCTATCGGCGGGGGGCGCGGAGCCCTGAAGATGGTCCCTCAGCCAGGCAGCCTCTGCCCAGAAGGAACGTGCCGGTAGGAACTCTGGGACCATGGTTTGAGGGGCGGTGGCAGGGTGCCTGGGAGGCAGAGTTAGTCAAGAGTAGGCGTATTGGGGTGGGAGACCTCCCCATGGTTGGGGTACAGATGGGCCCAGGCAGCCACAGTTTGGACAGTCCCTGTCCTGGTGCCCAGGTGGGCACGGTTTGGCCAGTCCCTGTCCTGGTGCCCAGGTGGCCACGGTTTGGCCAGTCCCTGTCCTGGTGCCCAGGTGGCTGCAGTTTGGCCAGTCCCTGTCCTGGTGCTCCTCTTTCCATGCTCCAGCCCAGGGCTGGGTGAAGCTGAGGAGAGCCCAGGCCTTGAGGGATGGCAGTGATCATGAGGCCCAAGCTCTGGCTTCTCCCCAGGGGAGGATGAGGAAAGTTGTGTTAGCCAGGCCAGTCGCTCAGAGAAGGCATCACTTCCCTGCAGAAGAGGCAGGATTAGGTGGCCGTGTACCAGCCCTTGTTTGCCTAACTCTCCCCTTGTTCATGAGTCTCCTGGAATCCACAGGGACTTTCAGATCCCAGGCATAGAGGGATGTGACAGGGACAGGGCAAGAGCTGTCATCCTTAATCCAGCTTCTCCCTGCTGAATCACCAAGTCTCCAACAATGGCATATATTAGTTGAACCTAGGAGTGGGCACAGATCAGAGCCAGTTGTGTTGGGAAAGAAGCCTCTTCTGTCCCTTGTTCCTCTGGGAATTCCTCAGAATGGCATTGGTTGTGTTGGGAGTCAGGATGGCAGGGGCAAAAGCTGGTTCTGTCTGGGGAATCGTCATCTTTAGTCCACCAGAGTTAGTCAGCAGACACAAATCTATGTCCATATTCTGGTTCCACTATTGCCCTGAAAACCAAGTATCCATCAGATGGCATTTAATTGATGCCTGTGATTGTGGTGTGTATGATAGCAAGAGCTTGGGCTTTAGAGTAAGGAGACTTTGGATAAGTGGCTTCACTTCCTCAAGCCTCAGTTTCTTTGTCTGTAAAATGAGAATAATTTAATTTATCTACAATAGGACAGATGTGAAACTGAGTGAGATGAACACCTGGTATGTTACAGGTGCTTTGAAAATGTCAGTTTCATCCTTCTTTCTGCAGGTTGGCATCACTGAAGGAGATGGCTCAAGGACTGGGAGTCTCCCAGCAAGTTCTGTGCAACTTTTGCAAGACTAGCTCCTTGCTGGCCCCCACATGCCCCATGCTAGGCCCCAATGTTCAGAGCTGGGACTTGAGCTCACAAAACTGGGGAGCTGAGACATTTGTTCTCTTGGATCTCACTCTCTCTGTCCCTTGTGCCTCTGTAGCTGGCCTTCTTCCTGCCACAGGCCATGCCTCTACCAAGGACACATGGCCTTTCCCTGTTAGGACTGATGGCGGTTCTTTCCTATCTCATTACCCGCTAGGGGCCTGGGAGCCCTGTGGCTGGATCTGAGTGCTCCTGAGCTGGCTTCAGCTGCAGAACTCTCAGTCCCTCATCAGATCGAGACTCTATTTCCCCCGTCAGTCTGGGGGCTTCACAAGGGCAGGAGAGCCCTCCATCACTGACTTCCAGATCAGGGACCCTGCCAAGTAGGGACTGTCTTCTCAGCCAGCCATTTATTAGTCTAATATTCCTTCACTAAATTCCAACTCTATGTCTGGACCTGTGTTAGGCACTTCAGATACCACACGAGTAAGACAAGGGCCCTGCAGGGGTGGTCCTTTGGTGGAAAGCTGGTCTTAAGGGTTGGGCTTGGGAATAGGCAGGGTCAGATTCCAGGGCATGGCTCTGGACTCAGCTGGTTTATACCTATATGACCATTACAATTGTCTACAGATCACATCCATTCTGGCTGGTCAACATGCATGCTGTACTGGCTGTTAAATAAAAATATTCTGAATGTCACTCCTTTTGAGGGACAGCACAGCCTTCCCTAGGCATTCTCCTATATTCCCCAGCCAAATTGTAGAGTCAGATGCACCCACATTTGCCTGTGTCCTTGATTTAGCAGGAAGGAAAGGAATAGTCAGGGTTGATGGATGCCCACTTCTCTTCTCTTTCTCTTGGTCAACTCAGGAGCCTTTTAGTCTGAGGGAATGGAGAGGCAAAGAAAGAAGGGAGAGTAATAGAATTGGGAGGGCAGAGACTTAAGGGTTCTGCTTCCCAGCCCTAGAAATTCTATCATTGCTCAGCCCCAATGAGAAAGCAGATACACCTAAGCCATCATCAACCACTAACATCTCAACTTGCCAGTTGCTGGGTGCTGGGCCCTGGCAGGAATGGGCCAAGCCAAGCAGGGGAGACTAGAGAGCACCAATGGCCAACACAGCTGCCTGGCTGGGGAGGCTGTGCTGTTTCCCCTGGAGACCTGACTGGTCTGTGGTTCCCACAGGAACAGGGTTGTCTTTTGAGCCCCCAGTGTCTGGTTTCATTCATCTCAGACTTGTTATTTCACTCATCTCTAATAAAGGATTGGGGGGTCAGTTTCCAGTGGTTTCATTTATGTGATCTAAAGAGCAACAGGGAGGGGAAAGGAATCTTGGGGCTTGAAATTCTTTCTCTGGACCTGGCAAGGGAGATGGCCTGATGTGGAATAGTGGTTTGCAACCACAGTGTTTTGCCCCGGGGAACTTCTGATAAAGCAGAAAACAGTTTTGACTGTTCCCAACTGGAGGATGCTAGTGGCATTTAGTGGACAAAGGTCAGGGATGCTACTAAACATCCTACGGTGCATAGGTCAACCCTCCCTAGCAATGCATTATCCAGTCCAAAATGTTAATAGTGCCAAGGTTGAGAAACCCTGGAAAGAGCACTGGACTAGGAGTCTGGAGACCTGAAATTCTAGCTCTCCCATGGTCCTCTGCCACTGTCTCTGTTGACTGCCCCTGAGACAAGGATTTGGGAGCAAGTAGCTTATCTGTGAAATGATCCCAGGAAGCATAATGAGGGAATAGAGAAATGAAACAGAAAGTCAAAGATAAAGAGCTGTGCGTGTTGGTGAGAACCTATACTCCAGCTACTCGGGTGGGAGAATTGCTTGAGCCCAGGAGTTCAAGGCTGCAGTGAGCCATGATGGCGCCACTGCACTCCAGCCTGAACAACAGAGCGAGACTCTGTCTCTAACTCTTGTTGGGGACCTGTGAGAAGGAGTATTGACTAGAACATGCCTTCAGGTTGTCCCATCGAGAGTGAAGAAATGATGTTTTCCACCAACTCTGGTTTCTTGCTGGTTGGGGGTGTCCTTTCTGAGGGCATCAATTTCCTACCACCCCAAAGCTCCAAATAGAGAAATGTGGGGAGCTGTCCAAGGTGTGTCCAGGAATTATCTTCCAGTGACCTGTAGGGTGGACAGGTAGGCAGAGGGGATATGATGGTATCAACAGGGTCCAACCCTGAGAGAATCATCACCCTCTTTAGGCCTCGGTCTTCCCATCTATACAATAAAGAGGTTGGACTCCATGTTTTCTTAGGGGCCTTCATACCCTGACATTCTAGGAGTCTTAACTTTTTTTTGATGTCGCGCATCTCAGGGTGGTGACTGGGTGGAAGTTTGAGAAAAATCTCTCTCTCTCTCTTTTTTTTTTTTTTTTGATGGCTCTGTCTCCCATACTGGAGTACAGTGGCACAATCAGAGCTCACTGTAACCTTGAACTCCTGGGCTCAGGCAAGCCTCCTGCCTCAGCCTTCCGAGTAGCTGGGACTATAGGCCCACGCCACCATGCCCAGCTTTTTAAAATATTTTGTAGAGACGAGGTCTCTCTCTGTTGCCCAGGCTAGTCTTGAACTCCTGGCTTCAAGCAATCCTCCTGCTTTGGCCTCCCAAAGTGCTAGGATTACAGGCATGAGCCACTGCTCCTGGCCTTTTTTTTAATAAGGCAATCCTAAGTAGCCTCAGGCTGCTGAGGTTGAGTCTCTTCAACCCAGAAGGGCTTGGCTGGGATTGGCCAAAAGGCCTCCCAGAGAATCCCAAACCATTAGAGTCTAACTTCCCAAATGTGACCGGCAGGCACTGCATGCTCAGGTCCCACCCACTGCCTCTCCCCACACTCCTCACCTCTGTGCTGCAGCCACGCCAATTTTTCAGTTCCTCCAACACTGTCAGGCAGGCCAGGCACCCTCCCATCCCTAAGCTTTGCACATTTGGAACTCCAAGAGGGGAGGACTGTTTTGTTCCTCTCTGGATGTCCAGAACAAGAACTACCTGGCACATATTAGGTGCTCCATAAATATATGTTGAATGCCTCTTCCTTTCTTCCGTGAACACTCTTCCTCCTCCCCTCAACGGCCACTGTGTACTTCAGCCCAAAGTTTAAACTTCGTTTCTTCAGAGAAGTTGACACCCTAAATAGTGCAGGTCCCCTCAAATGTGTCCTTAAGCTATCCTCCACTGCTTCCTGCCCTTCACCCCAGCTATGATAAATGCATTAATTGACTATGTCTGTTTTTGTTTAAGGTTTCTCTTGCCCATAGACTGAGTCTCAAGCTTTCTGGGACTGGGTCTGTCTTGTTCATTGCTTGGACACTCAATACGTATTTGTTGAATGGATGAAAAAAACCCACTCTGTCCTACCTTGATCCCCGTCACATAGCAATTAGAAGATAGGTGTCCACACCAAGCTGCCTCTGCGACCCAAGCTGAAATGCGGTTCTCTCAGGAAAATCAGGAGATTTCACTCGACACCCCAACCCCAGCTCCCACACACTGTGGACCACTTTTCATGCCTTCCCTCCAGGTTCCTGAGCCCCACCCCCATCACAGGAAGATCATTTTCTGTCCATTAAACTCACTTATTTAGCAAGAGAACTGGGTCTGCAGGAGATACTTGAAGATCATTGGAGATCATTCCACAGGAAGGCAGATCCCTGCATGGCTGGGGAAGATAGGCACAATTGTGTTTCCACCCCTCCACTAAGATGACTTCCAAACCCAACCCCACTGAGGGGATACTGGCCTGACCTGGCAGCCTTGCACCTGGATCAATATTTCTCAAAATTTGGTGCACTTAAGAATGAATCTCGGCGGGGTGCGGTGGCTCACGCCTGTAATCCCAGCACTTTGGGAGGCCGAGGCAGGCAGATCACGGGGTCAGGAGATCGAGACTATTCCGGATAACATGGTGAAACCCCATCTCTACTAAAAATACAAAAAAATTGGCCGGGCGTGGTGGCGGGCGCCTGTAGTCCCAGCTACTCAGGAGGCTGAGGCAGGAGAATGGTGTGAACCCGGGAGGCAGAGCTTGCAGTGAGCCGAGATCGTGGCACTGCACTCCAGCCTGGGCGACAGTGCGAGACTGCGTCTCAAAAAAAAAAAAAAAGAATCTCATCTGTAATTACAGCACTTTGGGAGGCCAAGGCAGGCGGATCGCTTGAGACCAGGAGTTCCAGACCAGCCTGGGCAACGTAGTAAGACCTAGTCTTTACAAAAAATTAAAAAATTAGCTGGGCATGATGGATGGCTCACGCCTGTAGTCCTAGCTACTCAGGAGGCTGAGGCAGAAAGGATCACTTGAGCTGGGGAAGTCGAGGCAGTGAGCCTGATTGCTCCACTCCACTCTGGCCTCAGCCACAGAGGGAGACCCTGTCTCAAAAAAATAAAAAGAATCTCCCCGATAAGCTCTCACTACTCGAGAGTGTAGTTCTGGGACCAGCAGCACCCCCAGCACATAGGAGCTTGTTAAAAATGCAAAGCCTTACTAACAAAACAGCCAGCAAAGGAAGTTTTAGGTAGACAGAGGCAAACAGGAGCCTGGATACACGTGGCATGCACAGGCCGTGTGCACGATGGAGTGAGTGCAGGTTAAAGCAGAGCTGGATTTAGTGATCTACACACACACACACACACACACACACACACACACACACACACACACACGGGATTCGAGCGCACCGAGTTGCCTCCACTTGGGCATAGGCGCGGAACTGTGTCCTCCCGCTTTGAGATGCAACGGTGCAGAGACGCGGGAGCCCAGAACGCTTCCCAGGGCCCCTGGGACACCCTCGGGCGCCCTCCGCGCCGCGACCGCCGCCTGTGGCCAGGTCACAGCCTCCCAGCTCGCCAGAGAGCCCTCCTTCCCAAATCTCTCTTCGGTCCCCCGGCGCCCCTGGAAGGGCCGGAGTTGGAGGGTCCCCTCTCTCAGCCTCGTCCCTCCCCTGAGGCCCGATCGGCCGGCGCGGGCAATCAGTGCCCGGGCAAGTCCTTGAAGTCTATATTTAGTGCCCGCCACCCCTCCCCCGCACAGTTGGGAGGCGGGCGGTGGGGGGGTGGGGGTGGGGAGAGCCCCGCCCCCGCCGGGCGTGTGTGTCGTGTGTGTTTGGGGCCCGCGCGGGTTGCGCGCCCTCCGCCTTCGCGCCTCCTGCCCCCGAGGCCCTACTGCTGCCCCTGTGCCCCTCGCCCCGCCGGGCGTCGCGGGCCAACATGGGCCAGGAAGAGGAGCTGCTGAGGATCGCCAAAAAGCTGGAGAAGATGGTGGCCAGGAAGAACACGGTGAGGCTGCAGAGTTTGGGCCACGGCCCCCGCCCCCGGGAGGCGCGGGCAAGCCCCGGATTCCGGGGTGGGGACGTACTGGCGGGGCGCCATGGGGGCGCGTACGGGACTCGGGGACCCGAGGGAGGAGCGGCTGGTGCAGGGCCCAAGGCCCCTTGGGGACCCTTGCTGAGCACCTCGAGGTGGGCGTGTGCGTGGCCCAGGACGCCAGGGGGATCGTGCGGGTCCCGGAGGCGCGACTTGTGCACGTCCCTTTGGACGTGTAGGGTTCACCCTGGGCAGCTAGTGCAGGGCCCAGGAAAGCGGGCGAAGAGAGCTGGACGTGGGAAAGGACTTTGGGAGTCCCAGGGCTTGGCGTGTGCAAAGCCCGGGGAGCGGCGGCGATGGCGGGGGCGGGGCGGGGGGCAAATCCGGGTGGCCCGAGAAGTGGCAGAGAAACTTGGGCTGACGGGGGTACTGAGCTGCATCCCTGCACCCCGGAGTGGGTCTGCGGGAGAGAAGTAAAAGGCCGTGGATCCTGCGACCCCACCGCTTGGTGCGTCAGGAGCGGTTCTTTTGGCAATTTTCCCTTTCCTTGGCCTTGGGGTGCGGCCCGGACGGGCGGGGGCCGAACAGGTGCGGGGGCCCGCGGGGCGGGGGAAGGGGGCCGGGCTGGAGGCCTGTGCAGCGAGGGCGAGGGCGGAGGGAGGAGCGGGCTCGGCGGGAGGTTGGGAGCAGGGCTGACAGCCCTACCGGAGGGTCCTGGCCAGAGCGCAGACCCAGCTGGAAGTTAATGTTTGATCTTCCCCGTGATCTTTGCCTGGGGCTGGCGGCCGACTGGTCGCCTGGCCAGAGCAAATTTGGCCTTGGGTCCTGGAGGGCCTGCGCTCACCCTGGGAGGGAAAAAAAGGGAGCCTGGTGAGCATGCCCTTCCCACCTCCCGTTCCTGTTCCAGGGTCCTCTTCCTCCCACCATCCGTAGCCATGTGCTGCAGCCACCTGCATTTCCAGGACACTTAGGAGCCTGGGAAAGGAAGAGACACTAAGGGAAGTTTTAGAGCCAGGAAGAGTAGCCAAGGCCCAGGGAAGGGTCACTGGAACCATGAAGTGGCAGGGAGCCCTAGAGTGGACACTGGGCAGTCATGAGTTGGTGTCCATATAAAGGCCAGAGCCTCAGTTTCTTCATCTGTAAGAAAGAGATGAGATTATCTGCCTCTGGAGAAGGGATGTCACTGGATTCTTGTCTCTGCTGGCAGCGGTGAGGATTGGAGAGATGAGACAGAGATGTAAAGCCCTTAGTAGGACTCAGACCTGTGCTTGCTAAGAACTGGCGAACAAGACCTGCTTCTACGCAGCCAGGTCCAACACAGAAAGATACAGCACAAACCTGCAGAGTGCTGGGAGCTTCTCACCTGACACTCCCAACCTCCATGCACTCCCCGTTCCAGACTCCTCCACAATCCTCAGTACAACTGAGCCACAAGTCTTGGGGGAGCATTTTCTCAGCTGGGGTTGGCAGAGCGCAGCCAGGGATTCTGAGCCAAATTCCAGTTCAAATAGACGGGTTATCCCAGCCCAGCTCCTTACTGACCCCCAAGCTTGGGCCAGGAAAGAAATTCTGGGCCCCTGGGTAAGAGGGGTAGGGTGGGGACGCCTAGAGACCGGAGGAGAGGCAGGCTGCTTGGGATAGAGCTCTGGCTGAAGAGGACGGGACCTGCCCTGGCCTCCCCCTCACTCCTTTTATGGCCCTAGGCAAAAGCCACTCAACCTTCCCTTTCTGGACCTCGAGTTTCCTCTTCTGTGAAATGGGAAGAGGAAATGGTGTCTTTTGGAGATGGATTCCTGTGGAAGTGCCCAGAGCTGTCCCCTGAAAAGATGCAAGTCTGGCCGCAGGGTCCCTGCAGCATGGAGCCAGTTTACAGCCACGTCTGCGCCTGGGCTCTCGGCAGTGTCTGGGTGGGCATGGAGCTCTGGGCGTCTGGCCGAGAAAGGTGGGGCCTGCTCTGGGAGTGAAAGTGGACCCGCCCAGCAGTGGTTAGGCAGAGGAGGACATACTTCCTGTAATAAGACGGATCCTCCACGTTGCAGCTCAGGCCCGGGGTTTACTGCCGGTTGCTGAAGTCTCAGCCACTTAAGGCTTTGTCACATCCTCTGAGCATGCACTAACAGAAGCAACTTCAAACATGCAACCAAGTGCCTACGGTCACAGCTACATACACACACATAGCTATAACATGTGGCCACAACACAGTAGTTAAACAAGCAACTGAACCTAACTGCGTATGAGACACGGCTACTGACACCAACATGACAAGCATACTGACCCATATGACCCACATTGACCATTATAGTTATAGAATGATACACAAAGACAGCCACACACGTATGCACGCAGCACAGCTACACCCAGACATGCAATGCTACAGACTTAGCAAACAGCCACATTTATACATTCAGATCTTATAACACAGGCGTCATCCCACAAAGCCAAATAGACACAGCTGTGCCCGGAGCTGCATATTCACAGCTGCACACTTAGACCAGAGATACTACTGGCTACAGAACCCATTTGTATGTTCAGAGAGATACACCCAGCAACATTTGCACAAGGCTTTGTTTATCCAGCTACAATCCAGGCTCATGGCTATTCTCCTCCAATATGACCCAGTTATACAGCTGTGACACACGAGGCATACACCCAGTGGAGAGCTGGAACTGGCTTAACACAGATTGTTGCGTTTTCAGGAATTTTGCAACCTGGTGGTTAAACACAGCAATTGTTTCAAAAAACTACATTATCTGCTTACAATAAATAAATTATATTAAAAACAAAGGTAAGGAATCCTCCAAAATAATCACTTCCTGATTGTTTTACTACATTGTACTGTCATGTATGGTCAGAGATAATTTACTTCTATTGTTATCTGTACAGTGGAAATATTATATAATGGTATGGTAGTGTACGTCTCCTCCCAAAACTTCCTTCAGTTCAGTGACAGCATGTTGGTAGCTTGAAATTGGCCATGGGATGAGTGTTTACACCACAGAAATTGGCAAACACTACAGGTCAGTTTTTTTTTTTTCCTTGAGAACTGGTTGTTAAACGTTGGCCAGCACACCACTGCACTTACCCATGTTGATATTCCATGATTGTGTATGTCTAGACAGATCTGCGCCCATGCTAACACAATTTGTATAGTGGTTAGAGCCCAAAAGGACTGAGTTTGAATCCCAACTTGGCTCCTTATAAAGCATGTGACCTTGAGAAAATTATTTAACCTCTCTCTTTCTTGGATTGCTCTTTGGTGAACACAGGATAATAATTCTGTAAGAATGGGAATAATACACAGGACCTACCCGATAGGGCCATTGTGAATGTTAAATGAGATAATACAGGTAAAAAACTTAGAAGAGTGCCTAGTACATAGCAAGCCTTTAATTAATGTTACACTTGGAGTTGTGTACCCCCAAGTTCACATACACACACATCTGCAGGTCACGCTTCTGAAAACCTACTGTGAACCCAAGTTCTCAGGGAGGCTAAGGACTGACAGAGGGCAGCTCTTAGGACATGGTCCAGGTCCTGCCAGGGTGGGGATTGGCAGCTGGAACCATGAACTGTGGGCCAAGGATAGGAACATACAGGACACCGTCCCCTGGTGCTCCCCAGGGAACTGATCTCAGGACAGCAGGCAGGTATGGCTTCTAGGAAGGGGCTGGGGGAAAGGAGAAGGCTGAAATGGGTCGGAGGGTGTCCAGGGCCTGGCAGCTCACAGATTTTCAAACCTAAGCCTTTTTCTGCCTCCTGCCTTCTTTCTGCTTTAGTTCTGCACAAGTTCATCCACTCAGGGAGCACTGGACTCTCTGCTGAGCCCTAAGTTCTCAGAGATTAGAACGGTTCTCTTTACCCGAGAGAAGTTAAAGTACCTGTTCACACAAAGACTTGAAATGAATGTACCTAGAAGCTTTATTTCTAGCAGCCCCAAACTGGAACCTATCCATAAGTCCCATCAACCGGTGAATGAATTTAAAACATTGTGGTAGACTGGGTGTGGTGGCTCACGCCTGTAATCCCAGCACTTTGGGAGGCCGAGGCAGGAGGATCACTTGAGGCCAGAAGTTTGAGACCAGCTTGGGCAACATGGCAAAACCCTATCTCTACGAAACAATGCAAAAAATTAGCCAGATGTGGTGGTGCATACCTGTGGTCCCAGCTATTCGGGAGGCTGAGGTGGGAGGATCACCTGAGCCTGGAAAGTCGAAGCTGCAGTGAACTGTGATTGTGCCACTGCGCTCCAGCCTGGGCAACAGAGTGAGATCTTGTCTCAAAAAATGCCAGGCAAACTGTGGTACATACATACAGTGGAAACCACTCAGTAATAAAAAGGAACTACTGATCCACGAGACAACATGGATGAGTCTCCAAAATCATTATGCCGAAATAAGCCAGATAAAAAAGGGTTTTTGCCCTACATACTCTTTACATAAAATCCTTAAAGATACAAGGTCAACTATAGTAACAGAAGGCAGAATTGTGGTTGTTTAGGATTGGGGATGGGGAGGGATGGATTAGAAAGGGGACAGGAAGAAGCTTTTGGGGCTGGTGGCTGTGCTTTTATCTTGATTGTGGTGAGGGTTCCATGGGTGTACACGTATGTTGAAACTTATCAAATTTTACACTGCAAAGTGTGCAGTTATTGTATGTGAATTATACCTCAAAAAAGCTGTTTTTTGTTTGTTTTGTTTTGTTCGAGTTGGAGTCTCGCTCTGTCACCCAGGCTGGAGTGCAGTGGTGTGATCTTGGCTCACTGTAACCTCCATCTCCTGGGCTCAAGCGATTTTCCTGCCTCAGCCTCCTGAGTAACTGGGATTACAGGCATGCGCCACCACGCCTGGCTAATTTTTGTATTTTAATAGAGATGGGGCTTCACCATGTTGGCCAGGCTGGTCTTGAACTCCTGGCCTCAAGTGACCCGCCCACCTCAGCCTCCCAAAGTGCCGGAATTATAGGTGTGAGCCACCATGCTGGCCAAACTGTTCTGTTTTGTTTTTTAAAAGGCTCCCAGTCCTCACCCTGCGAAGTTCACAGTGGGGAGGTAAGGGAAGGACGCTACAGGCACACGAGCAACAATAAGCCAGGAAGGAATTCATTTGGGAGGAAAGATGGGGAAGGGGGAGGGCATTCCTGGGGAGAGGCACAGCAGAACCAAAGGCTGGAGGTCAGGAGCCTGGCTCAGAGGGTTTGAACCCAGCAGGTGGCGGGGGATGAAGTTAGAGCACCACCTAGGACAGATTGTTTCTCGTCTCTCTCCTTCCTTCTGCCCCTTGCCTGTCCTTCGGCCACATGTCTGTCTGTATCCTCCTGCTCTCTGTACCAAGACCACACAATAGTCAGAGAAGCCTGGTCAGGACCCAGGCCCCAGTCCTCACCTTGTGGCCTCCCACAGGAAGGGGCCCTGGACCTTCTGAAGAAGCTGCACAGCTGCCAGATGTCCATCCAGCTACTACAGGTGGGGCGGGGGTGGGAAGCCTTGGGACAGTGCCTGGGGGGAGAGCTGGTGGGGGAGGGAAAGACCCCTGGTGGGGGAAGGTGGAGTCTGGGAGGAATTTCTGAGGGGGGCCTGTGGGGAGGGGATCTTGAGGTGGAGACCTCCCAGGGAGGGACTGAGGGGGACACAGGGGCATCTCGGGGGCGGAGAGGGTATCTTCTAGGTGTAGGGGACCTCTGGGCCTTGGAGCAAGACTGGTTCGCTTTTCTTGAATACCCCAATTCCCAAGGCCCTGGGCCTGTGGGATCCAAGAGGCCAATGATCCAGGGAGAGGGAAAAGCCCCCATTTAAAATCCCTGTGTAGCCCTTAAAGTCCCCAGATTTACCAAAAGCTCCTGGCCCTGAAAAATCAGCACAGACAGATGCAAGGTCTCATAGCCGGAGCTGCTGTCTCAGTTGAAACTGGAGCTCAAAGACACTAGAGTGAGCTGGCCACGGTGGCTCATACCTGTAATCCCATCACTTTGGGAGGCCGAGGCAGGCAGATCACCTGAGGTCAGGAGTTCGAGACCAGCCTGGCCAACATGGTGAAACCCCGTTTCTACTAAAGATACAAAAATTAGCTGGGCACGATGATGCACACCTATAATCCCAGCTACTCAGGAGGCTGAGGCACGAGAATCGCTTGAACCTGGGAGGTGGAGGTTGCAGTGAGCTGAGATTGCACCACTGCACTCCAGCCTGGGCAACATAGCGAGACTCCATCTCAAAAAAATAGACACTAGAGGGTTGGGAATGGGAGGGGTCCTGACAGTCAGCCAAGTGCCACCCCCAACCCTAGGTTCAGGTTTCACCAAAGCTACAGATATCCTCCATGTCAGGCTTAGCCCTGGGCCCTCGGCCTCGTGCAGAGCAGGGCCTTAGTTACAGTAGTGGGGTTCTGACCTCAGCCAGGAGTCAGGGCTAGGACTCTGGGGGTCCAGGTTGGAAGGGGAGGTGGTGGTAGAGCTGGGGCAGGATCTGCCAATGATGGCAGCCATTCCTGTGTATCCATTCCCAGATTATGCCTTAACCCTCTCACTTTGCAGACAACCAGGATTGGAGTTGCTGTTAATGGGGTCCGCAAGCACTGCTCAGACAAGGAGGTGGTGTCCTTGGCCAAAGTCCTTATCAAAAACTGGAAGCGGCTGCTAGGTGAGAGAGGACAAGGTTGTCTTGAGCCCTGTTTTTCTCCTAGCACTTGGGACAGGACTGGGCCTGGCTCATAGCCAGCACTCAGTGTATGTCTGTTGAGTGACTTAATCAGTGACAGATGGCCTCTGGATCCGGGAGGTAGCTAGTGGGGGACTGCCAATGTTTGTGTACACAAGTGCAAGATTTGTAGACTTGTGAGTTTTGTGTACATGTGCCACTTACGTGTTTGTGCTCTCATGCATTTGTCTATATAGTACATGTCTACATGCACACATTTGTCTTAATATGTGCAGAGATGTGTTTGCCAATGTATTAATGTCCCCATGTGAGACTGTGTATTTGTACACACGTTCCTGTTGTTTGTGCATTTGTGTGTAAATGTGTTTGTGTGTGTGTTGGGAGTGTGTGTGCAGCTGTCCTCGTCCCTGCCCTTTGCTCTCTCCCCACTAAGTCATGCTGGGTTCTGCTGAGACAGAGCTTAGCTGAGGGACAATGCCACCCTTTTGTTTTCAGACTCCCCTGGACCCCCAAAAGGAGAAAAAGGAGAGGAAAGAGAAAAGGCAAAGAAGAAGGAAAAAGGGCTTGAGTGTTCAGACTGGAAGCCAGAAGCAGGCCTTTCTCCACCAAGGAAAAAACGAGAAGACCCCAAAACCAGGTATTCTTTTTTGGGATGGAGAGAAGGGAGCTGACACTTGTCACGTCCTCTGACAGCAACTCAGTGTATATTATCTCATTTAAACCTTTCATCCTGGGGAGGAAGATATTGGTATTATCTCCTGCAGTGCCCCCTCTGGGGGTCTTCTTTGGCTCAACCAGATGTTAGACTCACAAGACCCAAATAGGACATAAATGGCACTGGCTTTGCCTAGAAGGATGCAGGGACAGGAAAGAGTGCGTCTGCGGGAGGGCCTCCAGCATTTCTCTACAGAGAGTTCCCATAGGAGACCGCACGGCAGTCTAGAGCTCTTCTCTGGCCCACCCAGGCAACAGCCTAGGTGCGGGGAAACAAGACCACAGCGGGTATAAGCCTCACATCCCGAATCTTGTAACAGTCCCAAAGACAAAGATTCCAAGATGCTAGCAAAGGCAATAGCCACTTATAAGATTCATTGCACCTGGCGCAGTGGCTCACACATGTAATCCCAGCACTTTGGGAGGCTGAGGCGGGAGGATCACTTGAGCCCACGAGTTTGAGACAAGCCTGGGCAACATGGCAAAACTCCGCCTCTACAAAAAATACAAAAATTAGCCAGGCATGGTAGCGCACACCTGTAATCCTAACTACTCTGGAGGCTGAGGTGGGAGAATCGCTTGTGCCCGGGAGATGGAGGTTGCAGTGAGCTGAGATTGCGCCACTGCACTCCAGCCTGAGCAACAGAGCAAGAACCTGTCTCAAAAACAAACAAACAAAAACCAAGACATATATTATAAATTAAAAGGATCTCTACTTTCTGTATTATACAATAAAAATTTTAAATCTGAATTGTTGGGTTTTTTCACAATGATCCTGTACTGCTTTTGAAACAAAAAATAATAATAGTGCTTTTAAAAACTAAACAAATAAGAGTGATAAAAATCTGTTGTAGAAAATAATGGAAGGCCGGGTACGGTATCTCACCCCTGTAATCCCAGCACTTTGGGAGGCCGAGGTGGGCGGATCACTTGAGGTTGGGAGTTCGAGACCAGCCTGACCAACATGGAGAAATCCCATCTCTACTAAAAATACAAAATTAGCTGGGTGTGGTGGCACATGCCTGTAATCCCAGCTACTCGGGAGGCTGAGGCAGGAGAATCACTTGAACCTGGAAGTCGGAGGTTGCAGTGAGCCAAGATTGCACCATTGCACTCCAGCCTGGGCAATAAGAGCGAAACTCCGTCTCACAAAAAAAAAAAAAAAAAAAAAGGAAAATGTAGAAAAGTAGAAAAAAAAATCACCCACATTCCCACCACCCAAAGACAATCACTCTTGATGAGTTAGTGTATGGCTTTTCTTTCTGTTCTCTGACTTGTTTTCTATAGTCATCCCCAATTTTAATAGCCTGCTTTTTAAAAGGTAATGCCTGTGAAATGGTTTTGTCACATTTTCTATGTTCTGTTCCTTTCCATTGCTCATTTTGCAAGTGTATCCTACTTGGAAAAACCCTAATTGGCATCTAACTTTTCACACGAGTGTGTTTTCTTTTCCCAAAGGGGTTAGAAGTTTGGCTCGGGGAATCCCTGACCATCTCCACAGTGCCTAGCACGGAGTGAACATTTACTGAATACTGCTAGCCCATTTGTAGCAGCATGGTCCCCTGCCCTGTGGATTACCTCCTGTTCATGCCCTGGCTGGTCTGGCCATGTCTGGAGCACCTGTGTGGTTATGAGAACCTTGGCAAATGAAGGACCAGGAGCAGGAGAGCTCTTATGAGATGAAGTTGAAGGACTAGAGGCTGAACTACTGGGGAGGGACCAAATGGGATTTGGGACTAATCTGTCACATGGGGAGTGTAGGCATCCAGGTAAAAGTGGCAGCCTGAACACATGCAGTTTTTGTTTTTGTTTGCTCCATCCCCAAGCCCCACTGAATGAACAGTAAAGAGGCTGGGCGCAGTGGCCCATGCCTGTAATCCCAGCGCTTTGGGAGGCCGAGGTGGGTGGATCACCTGAGGTCAGGAGTTCGAGACCAGCCTGGCCAAGATGGTGAAACCCCGTCTCTACTAAAAATACAAAAATTAACCAGGGGTAGTGGTGCACGCCTGTAGTCCCAGCCACTCAGGAGGCTGAGGCGGGAGAATCACTTGAACCCGGGAGCAGAGGTTGCAGTGAGCTGAGATCCCGCCACTGCACTCAAGCGTGGACAACAGAGTGAGACTCTGTTTAAAAAAAAAAAAAAAAAAAAAAAAAAAAGAACAGTAAAGGGATTTCTTTTAAAGGCCTGTATGAGAACAACAGGTGTAGGAGAGGTAACAATGAAAAAGCAGAAAGCCAGGTTCTGGGCTGAACTTGTCACTTATGGCCTTCTTCTCTGAGACTCAGTATTATGGCCTGAAACACAGACATCATTTTCTCCGTTCTTTCTTCTTAAAAATAAAATGTTTTATTTGTAATAGTCTTTAATTATATTTTAGTTGTCTTAGTTTAGCGATTTTGTATTTTTTATAATACAGATAATTACTTGCTCATTGTAGAAAGTTTTAAAAATACAAATAAATAAGAAAATAGGCCGGGTGCAGTGTCTCATGCTTGTAATTTCAGCACTTTGGGAGGCTGAGGCAGGTGGATCACAAGGTCAGGAGTTCAAGACAAGCCTGGCCAACCCAGTGAAACCCTGTCTCTACTAAAAATACAAAAATTAGCTGGGCCTGTTGGCGGGTGCCCCGTAATCCCAGCTACTCAGGAGACTGAGGCAGGAAATCACTTGAACCCAGGAGGCAGAAGTGTCAGTGAGCCAAGATCGTGCCACTGCACTCCAGCCTGGGCGACAGAACTAGACTCCGTCTTAAAAACAAAACAAAACAAAACAAAAGATAAGGGCCAGGCACGGTGGCTCATGCCTATAATCCTAGCACTTTGGGAGGCTGAGGCGGGCAGATCATGAGGTCAGGAGTTCGAGACCAGCCTGGCCAACATGGTGAAACCCCATCTCTACCAAATATACAAAAATTAGCTGGGCATGGTGGTACATGCCTGTAATTCCAGCTACTTGGGAGGCTGAGGAGGAGAATTGTTTGAACCGGGACCCAGGAGGCGGAGGTTTCAGTGAGCTGAGAGCGTGCCACTGCACGCCAGCCTGTGCTACAGAATGAGACTCTGTCTCAAAAAATAAAATAAAATAAAGTAAAATAAAATATCATTTATTATCTAGAAACAAGCACTCACATATAATTGTGTGTATATATACATATAAAATTTATATATATATATATATATATATACATCCTGCTAGACTATTCCTATGCATTACTACCTATAAATAGGTATAAAATACCTATTTGTTTTAATAAAATTGAATTACACTCTGTATACTATTTTGTAACCTTTTCATGTACATAAATGTATTCATTTCAGTAGCAAGGTGTGTTTAGTGTAAAAAGTTTAGAAAATCAAGCACAAGAAGAAAATAACAGAAATAACCATTGTTAACATTTTAATGTATATCTTTGTAGTTTTTTAAGAACATACAGGCCAGGCCAGGCTCAGTGGCTCACGCCCTTAATCCCAGCACTTTGGGAGGCCAAGGCGGGCAGATCACTTGAGGTCAGGAGTTCAAGACCAGCCTGGCCTACATGGTGAAACCCTGTCTCTACTAAAAATACAAATATTAGCTGGGCATGGTAGTGGGTACCTGTAATCCCAGCTACTTGGGAGGCTGAGGCAGGAGGATCGCTTGAATTTGGGAGGCTGAGGTTGCAGTGAGCCAAGATCACCCCACTGCACTCCAGCCTGGATGACAGAGCGAGATTCTGTCTTTAAAACAAAAAGAACATACATATGGGCTGGGCAAAGTGGCTCATGCTTGTAATCCCAGCACTTTGGGAGGTGGAGGCAGGTGGATTACTTGAGCTCAGGAGTTAGAGACCAATGGCGAAACCCTATCTCTATTAAAAGTAAAAAAAAATTAGCCGGGCGTGGTGGCGTGCACCTGTGTTCTCAGCCACTTGGGAGGCTGAGGTGGGAGGATCACTTGAGCCTGGGAGGAGGAGGTTGCAGTGAGCCGAGATCGCACTACTGCACTCCAGCCTGGGTGAGGAGTGAGACTCAGTCTAAAAAAAAAGAAAAAAAGAACATTCATATGTACATTTATATTTATATTTTGTTAATAAAATTTGAAATGCACTATACATTTTCCTGGGACACTAAATTGTTATGCCCACTCACTTTTCACAGCCATGGGGCTCAGAAATGAAGCTGTCGCTGGTGCTGAGCAGAAAATGGAGAGGTATCTCCTCATTCTGCTGGGAGAAGCCAGTTGTCGGGGGTCCTATTTCAGCTCAGTTAATTAATTTCCTTCCTTTTTAGTTTTCTTAATGATAATTCATTATACAAACACTGTAACCACATTAGTGAAACTTAGAATAAGCATGGGAAATATTTGTGCACATCAGACAAATTAAGCAGCTTTTATTTTTCTTCCTCTCCTCTCCCAGGCCTGGTTTAACTACATACATAATTTTTCCATTCCTTTAGGCAGACTGTACAATTTTTTTTTTTTTGAGATGGAGTTTCACTCTTGTTGCCCAGGCTGGAGTGCAATGGCACGATCTCAGCTCACAGCAACCTCCGCCTCCCAGGTTCAAGTGATTCTTCTGCCTCAGCCTCCCGAGTAGCTGGGATTACAGGCATGTGCCTCCATGCCCAGCTAATTTTTGTATTTTTTTTTTAGTAGAGAAGGGGTTTCTCCATGTTGCTCAGGCTGGTCTCGAACTCCTGACCTCAAGTGATCCGCCCACCTCAGCCTCCCAAAGTGCTGGGATTACAGGTGTGAGCCACCATGCCCGGCCATTTTTTTTTTTTTTTTTTTTGAGACAGAGTCTCACCATGTTGCCCAGGCTGGAGTGCAGTGGCGCAATCACAGCTCACTGCAGCCTGCAACTCCTAGGCTCAAGTGATCCTCTCACCTCAGCCTCCTGAGTAGCTGGGACTATGGGTGCAAATTATTTTTTTAAATATAAAACAGTATTTGAATTTTTGTCCTTAGGAACTATAAAGATTATACGTGATTTGGAAATGAGACTGTAGCAAACAATGGCCGAAGAAGAATCACCCATTCTATGCCTTCTCCTTTGTCTGGTCACTCAGAAATATCCTACTATCAGCTATCATTGCAGGAAACTGAGGACCAGAGAGACCAATAGGAGAGCAGGAGGGTTGTTTATTTAAGGTATGCACCGGCTCAGTGGATTCGTATCTAAACAGCTGAGCATTTTAGCAAAGACAGAGCGGGGTTTTTACAAGCAGGCTTACAGAAGCAAAACAAAAGCAGTTAATCATATGATAGGTCACATAATCTATAGCATAGCATAACTTGTGGCCTTGCATAGCTGGCAGCCTTGTAGCTGCATTGAAAGAAAAACAAGAACTGGCTAAATACAGACATTTGTAAAACATAGTCATGCTTAAGAAGTCAGGGAAAGGAGTAATAGTAAAGGAATTTGTCTTTCTCTCTTTTTTTCCTTCAACCTTGCTCTGGAGGGGAGGGGTGTCTGGAGCCCATTCCTTTGGCCTTGGTTTCCCAAACAGCATTATCTTATAACTGTCCTTGAAGTGAGCTTGCTAGGCAGAGGAAAACCTGTTCTTTTCTTTTTAACCCTTGCCTTGCCTGTTACTTTTCTTGGGGTGAATGAATGCATATTTATTTTTAAATTTCTGCCTCACTATGATTGTTGTTGCTTGTCGCCTCCCATTATTTTTATCCGTGTATTCACCATAGTCTACTTTTTCTTCTGCATAAATTCGAGACCTCTGGCTGGGTGCAGTGACTCATGCTTGTAATCCCAGCACTTTGGGAGGCCAAGGCAGGCAGATCACTTGAGGTCAGAAGTTCGAGACCAGCCTGGCCAACATGGCAAAACCCCATCTCTACTAAAAATACAAAAAATTAGCCGGGAATGGTGGCGCGTGCCTGTAATCCCAGCTACTCGGGAGGCTGAGGCATGGGAATCTCTTGAACCCAGGGGATGGAGGTTGCAGTGAGCCAAGATGGTGCCCCTGCACTCCAGCCTGGGTGACAGATTGAGACTCCATCTCAAAATAAATAAATAAAAATAAACATAAATTCCAGACCCCTTTTTCACTGATGTGCCACATCTCCAGGGCCTGGCTAGAATGCTGATATTCTGTGCCATGTCATCTTGACAGACATCACCCATTTGGTACACTTTCCTGTCCCCTGATCACCACATCTCATTTGTTGCTAGAGAAAATATTGTGCTGGAGTATTTCCTTCCATCTGTCTCATGATAAGGTCCTAACCCACTTGTCCAAGTAACTGCATACAATTCAGGGATCTTTCAAGAACCAAACTGCTAGCTGTTTTGGACTCATGCCTTACAAACTGATGAAGTACCTGTAATACAGGTCTTTGAAACATGGTTTCTATTTTCTTTCTTTTCTTTTCTTTTGAGATGGAGTCTCCCTCTGTTGCCTAGGCTGGAGTGCAGTGGCACAATCTCAGCTCACTGGAACCACCATCTCCCAGGTTCAAGTGATTCCTCTGCCTCAGCCTCCGAGTAGCTGGGATTACACGTGCACACCACCATGCCCGGCTAATTTTTGTATTTTTAGTAGAGATGGGGTTTCACCATGTTGGCCAGGCTGGTTTTGAACTCCTGACTCAAGTGATCTGCCCACTTTGGCCTCCCAAAGTGCTGGGATTACAGGTGTGAGCCACTGCGCCCAGCTGGTTTCTATTTTCTTACGGTCTAATCTTTAGACTTTTCCTGATGCTCTAGCTCTAGTATCGACTAATATGTCACCTTTTTATTTATCTTGCTATTGTATTCTAAGCATTTTTTTATGTTCCTGAACAGTTTTCATAACAGTCATTTGCAATAACTGCGGAGTATTTCTGATTTATTCTAAAAAGAAAAGCAATGAGGAAGAGTCAGAAAGTGGTTCTCCAGGGTGGAGTCTCGTGTCTTCTCTCCCCTCTCCCACTGTAGGAATTCCAGCTTATGGTTCCTGCTTGCATTGTCTATCCCCAAGGTGCACTAGGGAGAAGCCCCACAGAAGAACTCCCAGGGCCTGTTGTGGGAGTGCAGGGGCATGTGAATGAGGACCTCTCTTCCCCTCTCCCATGTGTCTGGTGGAGGGCTGTTCCTGGGGTCATTAATTAGTGACCAGCACTTCCAGCCAGCCTAGCTGTGGGGAAGAACTCCCTCAGACAGAGGCCCTGGGGAGCTTGCAGGAGGCAGCTCTTGGGTCCAGAGGCACTGAGAGAGTGAGCACCCAAGGGAAACTGGGCTGAGCACAGACAATGTTCACCACAGTGACCAAAACCCACCAAATGCTGCTCTTGTGGAATTTACATGGGGTGTCGGACAATAAATATAATTAAATATAAATAAGTAAATTGGCCAGACACAGTGGCTCACACCTGTAATCCCAACACTTTGGGAGGCCGAGGTGGGCAGATCACCTGATGTCAGGAGTTTGAGACCAGCCTGGCCAACATGGTGAAACCCCCTCTCTACTAAGAATATAAAAATTAGCTAGGCATGGTGGCACACGCCTGTAAGTCCCAGCTACCCAGGAGGCTGAGGCAGGAGAGTCACTTGAACCCAGGAGGTGGAGGTCGCAGTGAGCCGCCGAGATAGCACCACTGCACTCCAGCCTGGGTGACAGAGTGAGACTCTGTCTCAAAGAAAAAAAGTCAATTATGTAGTATGCTAGAAGGTGACACGTGCTATGGAATTAAAAGGAAGGCAGGGTAAGTGAGATGGGGAGTGGGGTTTGCAATTAACAAACAGATTGATTTTTTAAAACCAGTAAAAGGAATAACTATATTATATATCATAAAAATAATGTAGCTGAATGCATTTTGGAAAAATTGGGAAAAAATCACCTTTAATCCCATCACCCTAGCTGTAACAGTGGTTAGCATTTGAGTATATTTTCTTTAGATCTGCTTTTCCTCCTATGCATTGGTTTTCTTGCGTGACTTTAGGCACAGTCCGCATCTAATTTTGTCTCCTGCTTTTTTGATTGCTATTTTAACTCAGCTCTTCTATCCCCAAGGCCCATGTGTTTCTCCTCTCCTCCTCCTAAAGTGCCTGCCGGGGAGGCTGAAGCTGATTTCTCTGTTTCTCTGGTTCCAGATGAGTACAGACAACTCCAGGAATCCAGTCTCTGTGGACTCCAGTTAGCTAAGGCCTGCCTGACAGCCAGGAGGACAGGGACCTGCTGAGAATAGTTGTAAATAATGAGCAACACAACCCATGTCACATACATGGCATGTGTTAGGCCCTTGGCAGATATCGACTTCCTTCCCTTGTATTGGTTCACTTGATGGAGGGTAGGTGAAGGTCATGACCAGCCGGCACCGCCTGGAGCTCCCTCTCCCAAGTAGCTGTGGCCCGGGTGGGCTTCCTTAGCCTCAAGCCAGCTGGCCTTTTCCCAGGATGCTTTCTCCCCACCTTCCTGTCAGTACTGATGCTAGTCTACAAAGCAGTCTCCTTGCCAATTTTCTTCTTTCAGGAGAGACTCTGTGGACTCCAAGTCTTCTGCCTCCTCCTCTCCAAAAAGACCATCGGTGGAAAGGTAAAGGAAACCACAGCTTTCTCCATCCCAGTGTCCTATTCAGCCTGTGTCCCCTTCTCTGTTTTTATGGAGGAAGCCCAAGGCAGAGGAAAGGAGGGAAGGAAGAAACCTCCTACATTATGTTGCCCCCGTATTCTAAGACCCACACAGTCTTTCCACATTTCAGCCCTGGGGGACCCTCTGGATGTGCCTTTGATCTCTCTGTGGTCAATTCTTCAATTCATCATGTATTCATTCATTTATTCATTCATCCATCCATTTAGCAAGTGTGCCCCCGAATCAGGGGTGTGGCTCCTTCCCTGGGGTGGCTGACTGGTTGCTGTTGCCCCATCACTGTCAGGGGACCAGTCTCAAGGTCCGATTGAACCCAGTGGGGACAGAGGTCTTGAAAGCCGATACCTAGGCTGGGCACAGTGGCTCATGCCTGTAATCCCAGCACTTTGGAAGGCCGAGGCAGGCGGATCACTTGAGGTCAGGAGTTTGAGACCAGCCTGGCCAACATGGCAAAACCCCGCCTCTACTAAAAATACAAAAATTAGCCAGGCATGGTGGTGGGCACCTGTAATCCCAGCTACTCGGGAGGCTGAGGCAGGAGAATCGCTTGAACCCAGGAGGCAGAGGTTGCAGTGAGCCGAGATCGCGCCACTGCAATCCAACCTGGGCAACAGAGTGAGACCCCATCTCAAAAACAAAACAAACAAAACAAAACAAAAAAGAAAAGAAAAGAAAGAAAAAGAAAGAAAGCCTATACCTGGAATGGGCTCTCTCTGGATTTGGGCTGAACTGGCTAGGATGTCTACCCAAAATTAGCATAAATCATCAAGTCATTTAGTCATCAAATATTTATTGAGGGCCTATTATGTGTCAAGAACTATCCTAGGTGCCAGGGATACAGACATGCACAAAAGAGACAAAAATCCCTGCAGTGATGGGGGCCTTTATTCTAAGTAGGGGGAGACAGGTAAAGTTCAGAAGGTGACAAGTCCTGTGGAAATCAAAAGAGGAGAGGGAAGAGGATCGGGGAAGGATATTCATGGAGTTGTCAGAAAAGTCCTCATCGAGGAAGTGATCGTTAGGCAAAAGCTTGAAAGAGGGATTTAGCCAAGCAGATACTGGGGTCATTCCAAGCCAAGTGCCCTGAGGTGGGGGTGTGCCTGGCAGAGTCAAGGAACAGTGAAGTGGCTGAGGGCTGGAGCAGTTTAAGCGAAGGGGAGGGTTGGGGGAATGAGTAAAGCTGGAGCTATTGGAGGGTACTGAGGGCGGGAATGATGTCACCAAATTTATCAGGATGGCTCTGGCTGCTGTGCCAGGAATGAAGGAACAGCAACACCAGCCAGGAGGCTGTTGCGGTAATTCAGGCAAGATATCATGGTGGCTTGGATCAGGGAGGTAATGGTGGAAGTGGGGTGAAGGGGTGGTTTCCGGATATATCTTGACAGGAAAGCTGACAGAACTTCCTGACAGATTGGATGTGAGGAATGAGAGAAACAGAGGAGTCAGGGATGAGTCCAAGATTTTTCACTTGAGCATCTGCAAGGATGGAGTTGCCATGAATTGGCATGGGGAAGACTGTGCTTATGCAAATCAGGCTTGGGGTGGAAAATCCAGAGTTCAGGTCTCGATGTGTTGGATTTGAGGCGTGTGTTAGTCATTCAGTTGGAGAAGTCAAATATGCAGTTGGATTATATGAGGCTACAACTCAGGAAGAAAGTCTCAGCTGGAAATATAAATTGCAGAGTCAAGGCCAGGTGCGGTGGCTCATGCCGGTAATCCCAGCACTTTAGGAGGCCGAGGCGGGCAGATCACTTGAAGCCAGGAGTTCGAGACCAGCCTGGCCAACATGGCAAAACCCCGTCTGCACTAAAAATACAACAGTTAGTGGGCGTGGTGGCAGGAGGCTGAGGCAAAAGAATCACTTGAACCCGGGAGGCGGAGGTTGCCATGAGCTGAGATTGCGCCATTGCACTCCAGTCTGGGGGATGGAACGAGACTCCATCTCAAAACAAAACAAAACACAACACAACAAAACAAAACAAAACAAAAATTGTAGAGTCATTAGTGTGTAACTGACATCTGAAGAACCTGGATGAGGGCACCAAGGAAAGATTGTGGATAAAGGAGTGGGTGTGAAGTGTGGTCCAAGAGAGTGGTCAGAGGTCAGAGCAGGAGAAACAGGGCCAAGGAGAGCAGGCCAGGCCAGGAAGTGGCCAAGCAGCAGATCAAGGAGAACGATTAGGGTCCATGGGCCACATTGGGTTTTGGGGCACCTTGGTGGGATGATAAGGGTGTTGGCCTCTGGGAGAGTAGGTGTGAGAGCTGCAGAATTATTTTAAGCCTAATGTATCAGTAAGATTGCCATTGGAAAGAAAATTAGAGACACAAAAATTAGGTTGTTTAAGGTTTTATGAAGATTCAACGGGCCTAGGCTGTATTGCACACCTCCAACATGGCAGCCAGCTCCAGCTGATGCATGGAAGCTATCTGGAGTGCTGATTGGAGAGGGAGTCTGAGGCTGTAGAAAAAGTTCTGTAGTCAATTAGCAATGTCTGATGTGGGTCAGGCCTAGAAATGGTGGTTCCAGTGTCATCCTGGTTCTAGACCAGTGGATCTCAGCAGGGGTCATTTAGAAATGTGTGGAGGCGTTTATGGTTGTCACTATGACTTGGGCCAAAGTAGGGGTAAGGTGAGAAGGAGGGGGATACTCCTGACATTTCGTGGCAGGAACCAGAGATGCCAAGTGCCCCGGAGAGTGAAGGACTTTCCTGGATAATGAAGCGTCATCCTATCCCCAGATGAAACACTGGTCACTAATGACATTCTAGGTTTGATGCTGTAATCAAAACACTCGACATTCATGTAAGGATTTGAGCCTCCAGACTCCTCTCCTGACTTTGTCTTCATGGTCTTGAAATCTCCTGGCTCCCTCCCCTAATGCATTCTTTCTCTGAAGGTCAGTCAAACAGAATCTGTTTGTCCTTCCAGAAGCTGTGCCATTTCCTGCTGGTTCAGTACTGAGGGTAGGAAACCAAAAGGGACACAAGGAAGTCTCATTAATTTTTTTTTTTTTTTGAGATGAAGTCTCGCTCTGTTGCCAGGCTGGAGTGCAGTGGCACGATCTCGGCTCAGTGCAACTTCCATCTCCCGGATTCAAGTGATTCTCCTGCCTCAGCCTCCAAAGTAGCTGGGACTACAGGCATGTGCCACCATGCCCACCTAATTTTTTGTATTTTTAGTAGAGACGGGGTTTTACCATGTTGGCCAGGATGGTCTCGATCTCTTGACCTTGTGATCCACCCTCTTCGGCCCCCCAAAGTGCTGGTATTACAGGTGTGAGCCACCGTGCCAGGCAGCAAATCTCATTAATTTGTCTCCTACCCAGACTGTTTCCTGCATGATTTACTTCTCTATTTCATTTTTCTCTTCCGTTCTTTCATCCATTCATTGATTTGGCAAGCACATCTATTGAGCACTTCCTTGCAAATTCAACATTCTCTGGGGATCAAGAGCACATGCATACACGGGGTGACTAGTGGAGATCATGGCAAACTAGAAAGTATGTGCCTGTCTGAAGGGGGCAGCCACTACCCCACTGCAGCTGATTGTTGCTTTGGGGAAATGCAGGTCCAGGGTGCCATGTCTTCCAATTTTTTAAAGAAAAGCCAGACACCTAGAT